>NC_000003.12:170523755-170675270 GCF_000001405.40 Homo sapiens
ATTGTTGTATGGAGAAGCAGTGGGAAGTTTTGCCAAAGGTGAAACAATATGGGGATGATGATGTGAAAGTGGAAAAAAGACACTGGAGCAGCACTTCCTTTAGTTTAGTGACCAACAATCATAAGAGTGAGAGGCCTGCTTGAAGAAACCTGCTATAAATATGCTAACATTGGCATAAGTTATGATATTTTGGTCCTGGCCTGACTAGGGGCTCTGGGAGGATTCCAAATGGCCTCAGTGGCTAGATAAGTCAGTCATACAGTATAGAGAAGTGTTATGTGGAGAGGAGGAATCCTGTTTTGGGGAGAGGTAGGGTTTTTTCTTCTTGTGCTTGGTGCTGTGGTGAAGGCCTCAATTACTGGGCAGGACCAGGGTCTTTAGTGGAGGTGGCCTAGTGATGTGCTGGTAAAGGTTTAACAACTAATTCTCTGAACAATGGTAACAACAACAAACACATAGGCCCTCCATAGCTGATGCCAAGTTAACAGCATGACATCATTGAATGTAAAGCTGGAAAGAGGTATGCACCATTAGTACTCTTGGCAGCTGGTGTGAGCTGGCTCCAGCATAACACAGTCTGGACCAATTTCAGGCTCTCCATGTGAGCAGTGGAAAAGTCTAGATTATATACTGCTCATGAGCACTGTGATGGGGGTAGGTGGCAGGCTCTGGTTTCCAGATGTAATGTATCCTGTGAAGAATAAGACACAGGTAATTCATTCACAAAAATCACTGTGGTCTGGGAGACTGGGTCAAAATGGATGAGATCTATTGAAAACTGTGTAGTCTTCATTAATCTGATGCACTGGCCCTGTGCCTTCTGTGGAACCCTTTGGGTATATGGCTGCCTTTTGTCCTACTATCCACATTTTGTTCCACATGATAACATGTTTAGATCTAGAAACTCATGGTGAGTCAATTTCTCTGTCAAAAAAGTTTGGAGGTAATTGCTATCACATTAATAGAATTGCAAGTATTCCCAAAATTCATCCATGTGAGTAATTTATTTTCATCAATAGGAGAGAAAACTCCTCAATTCTGAAGAAACCTCAACTATTAGTGTATTAGTGCTTATGAGAGGATAACTTCAGGAGAAGGGGATAAATGGTAAAACCAACAGGAAAGAGAAGACATGACAGGAGGTTAATAAACTCAGCTTATTTTCCTTATCAAATTAAAGAGACGTTAAATACAAACCAGCACACTTTCTGGTTGCATGCTTGTAGTCTGTCTTTGTGTCCTATGTGAGCACTATTTATTCTACACGTATGATATTAATGTAATGCTTTTCTTATGATAGCACGCATTGGTACACAGAATTCCCAATATAAGTTAGAATTCCCACTTCTCCTGAAATATTCGAAGAGACCAAGACATTTGCTGTCAGTACATGGGTTGGCCCACATGATCTGCCACCCTAAAACCCAGAAAAGCCTCATGCTTTTGCAAAAAGCCGGAGGTTTTCCTTTCTCAAGTTGTCCATTGGCCTACTCCAGCAATTCTGGGAAGATACCGTAGATTGCTACTCAAGAGAAAAGGAAGGAAGAGGAAAAGGCAATAGGAGAGCCATTTTTACAAAGTATCGGCATGTGAGTCCTTGCACCTTATTTTTAAAAATGAGTTTTATGATTCTTTCTCAAGGGGAGACAAGGAGCTGCTAGTGGACCTGTCTCTGTGGACTATAAATCTGTGGAGGTGTTTGTGGCAGATGGCGCATTGTGATTCTCACAAGGGCTTTAAATCTCCTGGCCTGGCTTCCTTCTCCTTGGGGGCTCGATGCCAGTTTGAGGTTTATCAAATCCCAATCATATCAGATTTACTGACTTGTCATTTTGCTGCTCTGCCTATCTTTATTATTTATATCTTAGCTGTATCCTTCCACTGTCCCTCAAGAGGATTGACCTATCTTCCGGTGTAAAGGAGAGTTAAAATAAAAACAGAGCCATTAGAACGTGACAGGGAATGAGAAGCTGGGAGGTGTATGAGAACCAGAATAATTCTCTGTATTGAAAAAATAGGCCGGGAGCGGAGGTTCACGCCTGTTATCTCAGCACTTGCCGCGGCCGAGGCGGGCGGATCACCTCAGCCTCCCAAAGTGCGGGGTCAGGAGTACGACAGCAGCCTGGCCAACATGGTGAAACCCTGGCTCTACTACAAGTACAAAAATTAGCCAGGCGTTGTGGTACGCACCTTTAATCCCAGCTACTCAGGAGGCTGAGGCTAAAGCAGAAGAAGCGCTTGAACCCGGGAGGTGGAGGTTGCAGTGAGCCGAGATCGCGCTATTGCACTCCAGTCTGGGCGACAGAGCAAGACTCTGTTTAAAAAAAAAAAACCCAGAAAACAAACAACAACAACAAAAAAGAAGGCCAGGCGCGGTGGCTCATGCCTGTAATTCCAGCACTTTGGAAGGCCGAGGCAGGTGGATTAGTTGAGGTCAGGAGTTTGAGACCAGTCTGGCCAAAATGGTGAAACCCCGTCTCTACTAAAAATACAAAAATTAGCCGGGCGTGGTGGCGGGCGCCTATAATCCCAGCTACTCAGAAGGCTGAAGCAGGAGAATTGCTTGAACCAAGGAGGTGGAGGTTTCAGTGAGCTGAGATCATGCCACTGCACTCCAGCCTGGGCGACAGAGCAAGACTCCATCTCAAAAAAAGAAGAAAGAAAGAAAAGAAAAAGAAAAAAAAAAAAGGAAGCTACTATAATTAAGTCAAAACCTGGCCCTAACCTCCCTGGCAGTCAAGGCAAAAAAGAGCATGATGATCCACTTTTCTGCCACTTCATACATCTCACCACTAAATACTCCGGAGAAAGGGGATGAACAGTGACCAGGCTGGTAAGCACACTTTCCACAGTACTTCCCTGCATGGAGACACTTACCTGATAATATGGATGCGACGGCTGCAATGATGAAGGACACAATGACACCAGGTCCTGCCATTTCCTTGGCCACCAGGCCAGAGACCACATACATGCCAGTGCCCACACAGCTGCCAACGCCAAGAGAGATGAGGTCCACTGTGGTGAGTACCTGGGCTAGCTTAGTTCCATGTGCCGTGGTGGTCCCAGTTCCCTCTAGCATGGACTCCACTGGTTTGGTGCGTAGGATCCTGGAGTGCATTGCATACCAGGCAGCTCCCCACTGCACCCGCCGGGGGTCCAGCGAGGTGAAGAAGCCACTCATCTTGAGCGATAGGGGATGCAGTGAAGGTCAGCTGATGGAAGGGGGCTACAAAGCCTTAGTGGATGGTTCTGGAACTCATCTAGTGAACAGGGATCTCCCTTTTAGGAAAGGCCCAGAGGGACCCAGTGCAGCCTTCTCCTGGGCATGAATGTCTGCAGGAAAAACACAAGAAAGCAGAAGATGAGACCGAGTGAGAAACAAACCTTGACTTGCGGGGATGGTTGGAGGTTAATGTCCTGAACTGGTAGAACTGGTCTACCCGTGTGCTCATAACACGGAAGGGTTCCATGGTTCCACTCTCCTTGCTCTTCTCTCCAGTCCTAAAGGACTGCCGGCGCGTGCACTGTGTTGCACAGTCATCCTGATGAGGATGGTCTGAGTTAGAGCTCTGCCACTTACTGCTCTGTGGTCTTGGGTAAGCCATGTCTGTGTTTCAGTCTCAGCTGTCCAATGGGACAATAAAGTCTCTCTCCTAGTGTTGATGTGAAGATTAGATGAGTGACGTCCATAAGGAGCTTAAGAAAATGCCTGGCGTATGGAAAGTGCTCATCCATCTCAACTCTAACTACCTCTTACTTTGCCAATACTTGGTCTGTGATTCTTGGGCATATTTTGAGGGGACATGATATCTACATGTTTTTTAACATAAAAATGTAAAATTAGATCCATGAGTCTTAAGAGGGGCCATGCCACCCCATGGGTTATTTTGGCACTTGGCTCCCAAATGAAATAAAAAATGTTTTGGGAATTTTTTTTACTCTCAAACATTGGAATGGTGGGGAGTACTCCTGGCATCTGGGGGGAACCTGAGATGTGAGTTGTGTAGGATGTTGTCACACAACTTTTAGATATTTTGCTTGACTTTCCTGTAGATAAAAATCCTGGTGATGATGATCTGAGCCTGTCAACTCACTCTCTTTTACATATAAACTCATAGGATATTTTGGATAGCCTTAATATACAAGTAAATTGAATTTTCCAGGAATACAACTATAGAATAAATCAAAGGAAGATTATAATGTATTTAGTTTGGAACTTAAGAGGAGTTGTTTGCCCTTTCAGAAAACCAAGGACCCCATGGGAATGCCACCCGTGGTATTGCATTTCTCATGCTGCACCCTGGAACAGCCTGCCATCTGGAACTGGCACGTTTGCGGTGATTTTTCACATAGTGCAAGCATTTGACACCGTCATTTGGATATGCCTGGGTATTTACACACTGAAATATGTTGTATATAGGTAGATGATCAATAATTTCACTTCAGGATACTAAAAGGAGGTATGACAAAGTATTTATTATAAAAAGGGGTGTTGGATCTGATAGAATTAAGAACTACAGTGTTAGGTAATTTCTAAAGTTTAGTAAATTAGGAACTGCAAATATATGAAGCTACATTCTTTGGAAGCCGGAAGCTGGAGAAAATTTATAAAAACTGTATAAAATTTATAAAACTCATAAATGTATAGAATTTTTGAAGTATAGCCAGACGTTGATTCCAAATACTGTACTGACAAGCTCAGGACATTTATATAATCAGTAAGTACCTGCCTACCTCATCTACTCATAGTATTAATGAATACTAAGCACTTAATGTAGCACTTGTCTGCTTCTAAAGGCTTTTCAAACGCTAATTAGAAGAATCAGGTGAAATGTGGCTGTTTGGTTCACAGGTTTGGGTGACAGCCTTTCTGGTTTAATTTTTTCCTAGCTTTGACAGTGTGGCTTCGTGCTGTGTTTTTATTCTTGACAACACCTTAGATATCACTATAGTTGGATAACACGCCAGAGATATTTAACAGGCTAGAGTGTCTGCATTCCTCCCTTCCACGTCCCCTTCCTCCTCTCCTCTTTCTTCTTCTAAAGATTTTCGTATTGGCAAGAAAATATACCATATGTTTACCGAGAAGGCCGCTAGAACAACTGCTTTGGTTGAGGTCTTGTGGGGACATGAATCCACGTGTCTATTTATTTCCACTCAGCCAGCATATAAGGAACACCTGTTATGTGCCAAGCATGGCGTGAGGCTTGTAGATGCAAAGACATAGTCCCTGCTCCCATGGAGCTTGCAGCCTGGGATGAGAGATAGTGGACGCCAAATCACACTGCAAGTGAGAGGGTTTATTTTTGTTTTTCCCTGAAAAGCTTGGCCTTTATTATTTCTCTTTTTACACAAACATCGCATATCTATTGCAGAAAAGTCAGACAATATAAACAACAAAGAACCACATGAGTAAATAAGATACCACCCAGCTAGCTACAACTTGATTTATATTCTTTCAGACCCTTTTCTATGTAACTACACACCTATTTGAATGGACATATATATATGTGTGTGTGTTTTATAAATGTTATATCATTTATTCTGATTTGAAACTTTCTTGTTTTGCTTAACAATATGTTAGAATGTTTTCCCACATCAATAGTTATGGAAACATCATTTTTAATAACTGAGTAGTAGCTTCACTATTGTGGCTTCAGTGTTTTTATTCAGAAAATTGGCCTGTTGCTTTAGTTTTAATTCATCCGTTCAAGAAACTATACAAAGCATCTTCTCTGTGTCAGCCCAGCCTTAGGTAGCAGTTGCTGTGGCAAATGAGACATTCAAAGTCCTGCTGTCATGGTGCTGACGTTTGGTGAAGAGGGAGGAGGCAATACACAGGCTGACAGATAAAATCAGTCAGTTTCAGAGAGGGATACAGACTGTGTTATGGGCTGAATCATGGCCCCCCCAAATTAGAATGTTGGAGTCCTAGCCACCACACCTCAGAATGTGACTGTATATGGAAATAATATCATTATAGATGAAATTAGTTGGGGGGAGGTCATACCAAAGTAGAATGGGCCCTTAGTCCATATGACTGATGTCCTTATAAAAAGGGGAAATTTGTAAACAAAGTCACACACACAGGGAGAACAGACATGGGGGTTATGCCTCTACAAGCAAAGGGATGCCTCAGATTGCCACGAAAACACCAGAAGCTAGAAAAGAGGCAGGGAACGGATTCTTCCTCATAGCTCTAAGAAGCCAACCCTGCTGACACCTTAGTCTTGGATTTCTAGACTCCAGAATGGTGAGACAATACATTTCTATTGCTTAAGCCACATGGACCGTGGTATTAGGTTGGCACAAAAGTAATTGCAGTAAAGCACAAATTGCAAAAACCGCAATTACTTTTGCACCAACACAATACTTTGTTATGGCAGCCCTAGCAAACTAGTACAGGCTTAGAGGAAATAAAATGGGGGTGATAAAGGGGTGGGAAGGTCTCTGTGGACATGGCATTGGCTCCTGAGTGGTGCAAAGAAGCCAGTTGTACCAGATGTCAGGGAAATGCTCCTCACATTGTGGTTCAAGAGGATAGAGCGGGTGTTGCATCTGCTGGGATCTAAGTGAGACTGGTATGGGGTAAGGAGGAGGATTTGAGTGTCGTGTTGACTAATTAAATCCTCACAACATATCTCCCTTTACAGATGAGGCAAAGTAGGCCGGGAGAAGGGCAGTCACTTACCCAAAGTCACCAGAGCCAGAGCTTGGCCCTGGGCTCCGTGGGGCTCTCTTGCTTAAGATGCGCAGAGGTCAGACTGCCAGGGGGCTGGTCAGCCAAGATAACAGGGATGTGATTTGGATATTTAGTGCAGTGAGAAGCCCTTGGAGGCTTTTATTCAGGTGAGCAATATGAGATGACTTACTTTCTAAAAGCTCATTGTAGCTGCGGCAGAATCTTGGGCCCTGGGATCCTTTAAGGCAGCCCGGGATGGATGTAAAAAGGCGAGGGGTGTGGACCTGCTGCAGCGGGGAGGCCGACAAGTAAGCAGAGATCTATAAGCCAGTGGGACTCTGCAGCCAGGGCAGTGCCTGTACACAGGACACTATGCAGGAGGGAGAAAAATTGTCAGCCGGCTCCAGGAGAACCTCACAAGCTGTGCGCTGCTGGAATCGAGGAGAGAGGCCCTGCGGCAGGTTGTGGCTGTGGTAAATGCAGGTGGGCTTCATGCCCGCTTTTGAGGGGTGGTGAATGGTTTCCCATCTTGAGACCCTTGGCAGTGGCTCTCCATCTTGGTTGCACGTTGGAAATACCCAAGGATCTTTCAGAAATGCTGGTGCCTGTGCCCCATCCCCAAAATTCTAATGTAATTTGCCTGAAGTATGGCCTATATACAGGGGTTCTTTAAATGCCCCAGCTTATGCTAGCACAGCAGAATTGAGGTTCCCTGCCCCATGCCAGGCATAATGACAAATGCTCCGTGTGGAAAACCAGATATTGCTGTTTTCCACAGGAGGCCACTACTCTGACAGGTACTTCCGGTTTCCTTCCCTGGGCAGGTCATGGGGCCTCTTAACAGCTCTCCTCGGCAGGCAATGACTATGGAGGCGGCACTGTCTGGAGATATCTCCTGGGCTACTTGTCCTGTTCAGCCTTCATCAGAAACTGTCACAAGGACACCGAGAAACAAACCAGCCTTTTTATGAAAGTGATGGCTTCTATTTGCACTTCGTATTCCTGGTAATTAGAAACCGTATTGAAAATGTGGAGAATCAACCAAAAGCAAAGGTTGAGGGTGGCAAGAATGCCCCCTGGTCCTATTCTCTTCACGCAATTCCCCTGAGTGCTTGCTTTATTGATGCAAACAGGGAGTTGGGACCATTTCCTTTCTTGGTAGGAAATGTACTGGAGAGAACAAAATGTACAAAAGAAAACATGCTTCTAGGTGACTATTGGCAATATCCATATTCATTACCCCCAGATTATGTTAATCAAATATAGTTTTGGAAGCTCATTGCTGTTGTCTTTCCAAGATGAGCAATAAATGTGTGTTGTGCTTTCTCTAGCACTTTAATTCAGGTTTCTCAAAATACTTCACAGCTATAACTAAGGAAGGCTTACAGGGCCTCTGGGAGAAGAGAGTCATCATTGTGGTGCTTGCTGGCATGCTCGAGGGTTCAGTGGGCTCCAAGGATAATGATGATAAAAGCAGGTTTGTTTCAGGATGCAAATAATTACAGTTGAGTAGTTCACTGAATGAGTAGGATTATCGAATTAGGCTAGAGACTGCCTTTGGAGGTGAGGAGAGGAAGGAAACGAAGGCTAACAAAACAGTAAACAGCCAGTAATCATTCCTGCCTGATTTTGCAAATATGCTAAGGGACTACAAAAATCCCTCATGACACACTCGATGAGTAGTTGTCCAGCTTTTTCTGGAACATCTGGGCCGCAGGGAACATTGGCTGATAGAAGCAGCCCTTTCACGTGGTGGGACAGTTAGGATTGCTACAAGATTCTTTTAATTGATGTCCCCAGGAAAAATGAGGCTGCAGTTAGAGTAAACGTTGCCTGGTTTTCTGAGCCCCACCTGGTGACTGTGGGATCTGAGGACCCTTCTGAGGTCTCTGCCCACTCCCGCATCCAGGTCTTGGCTAACCCTCTCACCACCTCCCTGCTTTTCTTCCTCTGGGCTGAGCTCCTGGCTCTGGGTTAAGAACACAATTCAGGAACCAGGTGCCCTGCATGCAAATTCTGCCTCTGCCTTTACTAACTAAGTGACCTTGGGCAAACCTCACTATGCGTCAGTTTTGCCATTTGTAAAATGGGATCACAGTGGTACCTAGCTCACAGGGTTGTGGTGAGGAGTGGAAGAGCTAATACGTGTAGAGCTTTTAGTACCGCGCCTGGCGTATAGTGCATGCTGTGGGAGCGTTAGCTAGCATCACCCTGCTGTGGCCCCTGACCAGGTGTTTTTTTTTTTTTGTTGTTGTTGTTCCCTGCTACTGACACCCTTCCCACCACCTTCACCTCCTTAGGCAGCTCTCAGAGGGCCCTTGGCCTGATGCCAAGTCCTTAATCAGGGCTTTTTTCTGTTGAACCTCCCCTGGGTTTCTCCTGGCTGCAGCCTGTGCACCTGGTACTTCCACTCCAAGGGATTCTTATTTACCTTTCTCAAACTTGTGGAGAACGGCTTTCCTCTTTCCTGTTTTCCTTTATCTAAAGGGGCCTTCAGCAGATTTGCTTAGGCCTTTGGGTGTTATGCCTCCTCTCATTCTTCTATACTTTTGACTTTTTTCCCCAAGATGCACACATACCTTTGGGATGGCTAGACCATGGTAGGTTCACCTTCAGTTGCCACCCCATCCCTGAAAACATGATCCCCTTCTGACTTTTATGCCTGTGGCTTACTCTGGCTCACTCAGCTAGCATAAGCTTTGATGGTGGATCCTCTCCTGAAGTCCTTGCTCTTCTACTCCTTCCAAGCTCACCAGATACGGCTTTATGTTTGCACCATAACTGGGGATGTGCTTGCATGTCAGCCACTCTGACTTTATACTACGTGGCCAGGTACAGGCCAGATGCGTCTTAATCTCAGGGTCTGCTCAGCTCTGACAGAATATCCTGGTAAACTGAACTGTGATGTGTGTCCCAGTAACTCTCTTCTGTTGTCTGCAGTTTTGCTCTCTGTATCTATACAGATTAGAGTTAATCTGCTTATGGGATAAGTCTTCAAGTTTTTGATAGCAACTAACATATATCTTGGAGTCTTATCTTTCCTAGACTAAACATCTTCAATTTCTTCTGCGATCAACAGTGCCTCACATGTTATAGCTTCTAGATCAACCACATTCTGATTTGTACTTCTTGAATAGGCTGCAGCTTATCATGGTTGACACTTTTGGACCATGACAGAGTGGTAAGGGAGATGTTTTTGATCCATCTGGCCCAGTGTGTGTGTGTGTGTGTGTGTGTGTGTGGTGTGTGTGTGTGCACGCACACACATGTGTGCACAAGCACGTGCCTCTTAAATCATGCAGTGTTGGTGCCTGACAAATTCACTTAGATGTACGATTGGCTTTAAAACCAGGGTTCCTGATTTTCAGATGGCTAATTTTTTCAGTTGTATCTTTGCTGAGTGTTTGATCAAACCCACTTCAAATATTTTTTGATTACCTACCATATTATTTAATGATGTGCTAGCCTGTTTATATTGTATGTGGAGTCTCAGACACAGCCAACTTCGTTTTACTTGGAATATCTTTAAAGGGGACTATGAATCTATAATGACTGCATATTTTAGCTATGCAAATAAGATTGCACCAATTAAGCTTCCTTTTCAAAGCTTGTTGGTTTTTTTTGTTTGTTTGTTTCTAAAAAGTTATTGAGTATATTAATCAGCTTTTGCTGTAGTAACAAACAACCCCAAATTTGAATATTACAATGGTGATGTTTGTCTCTTGCTGTGGCTGTACTCCAGACAGTGGATCGGCTTCAGATCTTTTCCCCAATCTGGACTGGGAGTCTACTCCACACGCCTTCTTATTCCAGGATTCAGGCTGAAGGAGCAATCCCTATCTGATGCATGCTGCTCTTTCGTGGCACAACTGGTGGAAATGTAAAATGTCTCTACTGCTTGTGCTGGGAACTGGCAGTTCCACTGACTTTCCATTAACTAAAGTAAGTCATATGACCAAGCCCAAAGTTAGTGGGGTGAGAAGTGTCCTCCTCCCATTGAAGGCAGGTGAGTCACATGGCACAGGGCGAAGTTGTGCACTTTTCTTATGAAGGAGGATGTAAACAGTTTTGATGATATGTCACTGATCCCTTACTATGCACTAGGCAAAGCAATTATATTTTTCTTCTGAGGCTGTTTTCTCTGAAATGGGCAGATATCTGTACATCTGAGGAAGAAACTTAAGACTCTGATGTGTTCATTCCTGCATTTCCACAATTAATTCTTTAAAGATATAAATAATGATTGCCTGTAAATAGGTAAATTAAAAATTCATCTGCTTCCAACACCAGGCAGAACAAAATAAAGAGAAACCTGTTTAATTTTGTTTGCTTGAAATAATTCTTTAAAAAAAACTTATGAAAACAATTGATTTTTACCTGGTCTGGGACAATATTTCTACTGACACAAATAGTTTCCCATTCTGCTCCCCTGTTTGTCAACACTCCAGAGTTGCGAATACTCTCTGTGTATATATTTGTTGGAAACTGTGGTGAAAACACTCTCAAGAGCATCTACTTGGAGAAGGAAGGATAGGCTTGTTCAGAGATTGGTTACTGAGCGTTGAGACACCACGTTTCTCCTTCGATGCCCCAGTCAGGGAGGGTATCACAGTTTGACATCACCTTCTCCTCTCCTTTTCCATGGACCTCAGGTCCGGTGCCTCAGGTCTTTGCTTGGGGCTAGGTGTCCTTGCATGTGTGGCCACAGTCTGGCATCACCTTCCACTCTTCTCCCGCAGATCAGGGTCTCCCAGGTTAGGGTCTCAGGTCTCTGCTTGGTGTCATGTGTTATTCATTGTATATAAGATAATATTAACAAAACCAGAGTTCAGGAAATGAAAAACTCTTCATTAATCAGATATTACTGGGAAACCTCTCTGTTAGAAGGGACAAATAATACCAAAAACCAGTTAATCCTTCTATGCCACCATAAAAGATTTAAGAATTTGTATTAATCATTGCAAAAGTATTTAATGAGTTCCCGGTGTGTGTTTAGTTCAATGGTAGCTGTTATGGCCATAAAATAAATTATTGTAATCTACAGAATATCAGGAATTTAGGCACAAGGCAGCTTCAGGGAGTGCGAGTGTCCTTTGCTTGTCCTTCCAGATCCACCCAGCAGCCCACTGGCTGTGTCCTGGGGAGCTGACATGCTCCCTTGCCCTCTGGTTGGATTGGTCAATGGGAGGCACCAGCAGGTGATCAGGAGGATGGAAGAGAGGCAGGCCAGGTGTTTATCCCTAGCTTCCCTTTGCCAGGTCACTGTGGGTTGGCTGTGGCTCCAGCCAGGTGGCCCTCTCCACATAGCCCTAACTCTCTCTGGTTCTGATAATTCTTTCTTTATCCCCCCTGTCATTTCAGGCAGTGGGTAGTACTCATGTTTCTAGCCCTTGGAACTGCATTTTGCCTCATGATTTCTCTGCCCACTGCCCTCATCTTTATATATATTAACAGTTCTTTTCACTAACTTTCCTCAAAATACCAGGCTTGAGTGTGCCACGTGCTTCCTGCTGGGATCCTGACTGATACATGGGTATATTAGACGGCTGAGATAGATTCAGGAAATCAACAATACCCGCTGTGTCTACAGAGATACTGGGTTTGAAGTCTGAACAGTGAGGTCTGGGCTTTGACTCTGCTGTGTGACCTTGGGTTTGTATCTTAAAATCCCTGAGCGTCAGTTTTATTATCTGAAATACAGGAGAAATAATAGTTACCTTGTAAACCTGTCATGAGGATTTAATGAGATGATGCTTGTGGATGCAGTTTGGAAACCACAAAGCAACCTATAAGTGTAGGTATTGAAAATGTGACCAATGCCCCAAATATAGCTAAGAGACCGTAAGAGACTTGGTAATTAGCAGAAGTAGATCATAAGCTGTTTGCAATGCTTTGCTTGCCAAAGAAGAAGAGTGAACCATAAAAGTTTAGAAAAACTTTGAATGGAAGACTGATATAGCAATATTTTTTCTGGTTCATATTTGATTAGCCAGAAAAGTTAATTAGTTAGAACATATTTCCCAAACCTTCCAGTTACTTGGAGTTTAACTGCATACAAAAGTTATTGGGAAGTCTGATGGGCCCATAGGTCATTTCTAAATACATGCAGATTTCCAAAATTAACACTGAAAAGTGAGAGCACACTATCATACCATGAATATAGAGTGAATACTCTGTACTCATGAATCAGGAGACCGGAGGTTTTGTCCCAGTCCCGTAGGACAAGCTATGGGTGAGACTTGAGTAAGCCACAGCTTGCTAAGGTTTCTATTTTCTCATTTAGAAAATGTTGATAGGGACTTTTTAATGCAACACTATAGTTGCAAAGTGTACTCATGAGAGATGCATAAGGTGGCTTTTTGCACAAAAATTCTGGTCTCCTCATCCCAAATGTGATTGTAGAGGCCATTCTGAAATGATGAGATCATAAAATATTTGTATTTGAGATCATCCAGCCTGGCACCTTCATGCCATGTGTAATCTGAGCCCCCAGAAGACAATCTGCACCCACTCTGGCTGGATGCCCATCTCAGCATGTCCTTACACTCAAGACAGAACACTAACTGGACTCCTAAGATACTGAAGGAAATGGAAGCCTTTCTGGCAAAATAGAGAAATGCTATCACATATCTCACACAATTCCCTCTTGTATTAGGTCCCTCTGGCTGCTGTAACAAATGGCTACAAATGTAGTGGCCAAAAATGACAGATTTGATATTTTACAGCTCTGAGTCTGCAGGGCTGTGTACCTTCCGGAAGTTCCAGGGACAGTCTATTTCCTTGCCTTTTCCAGCCTCTAGAATTTAGAGGTCACCTGCATTCCTTGACTTGTGATTCTTTCCTTCTTCAAAACCAGCAACATAGTATCTTCTCTCCTCTCTGATCCCCTGCTCCCCTGTTCTAAGGATCCTTGTAATTATATCAAATCTATTCTCTAATCCAGGATAATCTCCTCATCTCAAGATTCTTAACTTAATCACCTCTGCAGAGTCCCCTTTGTCATAGTCACAAATTCTGAAGATTAGAACATGGACATCTCTGGGGAACATTATTCCATCTTCTAAGAACCACTCTTATCTTAGACATGTCTCTCTTCGTATTTCTGTACTCTATGGCAAACTGCCACCTCTCTCATCTCTCTTTTCCTGAAAACACTCGGCTGAGCATTTATATGCTTTTGGAAAAATTCTGTCCCTAATTAAACAAAAACTTAACCAGAACTACATGTACCTATTGTCTGTCAAGAATACTCATGGTAGAGTCATTTACTCAGCTGCTTTCAGAGGAGCAGCTTCAGAGCCTGAGCGCTGAAGTGGTTTATTTGAGGCCACACCCAAGTGATGGCAGGTGTCCTGACCTCCAAGCCAGTGCTTTCCGTACTGCTCCGTATTTAAAAAGGTGAATGGAGCAGCCTATATTTTCTGCATATAATGTTATCCCAGGCTTGGGATAATCTCCAGAGGAGAATTAGGCATTTGCCTAGTTGTCTATATGGTCGTGGTCCTTCTAAACATATTTTTTTTCTTGCAGGATTTGAGGGAAGAAAGATGACCTAATCTTGAAAGTCTTCCTAGAGATTTGGCCTCAATAGGAATTTCCTCATCCTGATCTGGAGAAGCCCAATTCTAGCAGAAGTCTCCTAAATGAACTTGTTCACATTAGTATTAACAAATTGGCTTCCCCAGGGTTGTGCAGGAAAATCTTTAAGTGGATGCATCTCTGTAGCTACTCACTCTGGATATGCTAAATAGAGTTGTCCATCTGAGATACTTCCTCCCCAGTCAATAGCTGCAATTTGGATGACTGACTTTGTGCTTCTGGGTTTGGAGCTTATATCTGAAATTACTTTTGTTTTCTCTATTCTCTGTATCTTTACCCACAGCCAGGCTTCTCTTGTACTTCAGATTTTGCTCTTGTGGGGGCTGGCCACCTGTTTCTTTGAGATTTATTTCATTGCACCCAAAGGAAATTTCTGTTTTTAAAAGAGTCTGCATTTTAAGTCAGATAATTCCAACTAGACCCTTCAAAATGTCAGGAACTGCCATTTCATGTAATACAACAATAAATGGACCAATAGAACTTTAATTTTGTCGATATACGTTATTATACATGCTCCACAAATTTTCAGTTCTCAATAAAGCCTGACTCCAACACACCCAGCCTCACTCTACTCTTGGCTTTACTGCTCTCAGTACACACCATCTGCAGTGAATTTCTGTAAATATGGAGCACCTAGTTAATGTCTGCACTGTGTGTGCAAAATGTAGAGGCAAAAAGAAGAAAAAGATAGCCCCTGCCCTCCAGGAGCTCTCAGGCTGGCCTGCAAGATGGACAAGAAGTGAGTGACCATCCAATGTGATACAAGGAAGTCTCCCCACTGACCATAAAGATTCCCACTTCTTAGCTCCTCTTCCTGTTTTCCTCACCTTTTTCTCTGAAGCTATTCACATTTCCATGTTCCTTTGGGACTCAGCTTATATCCCATCTGTCATTAAATGTGTGTTAACCACTGGAGCCTCCTCTTCTCTGATTTCCTGTAGGACCCTCAACTCAACGTGTATTCGTCAATTGCCTTGTGCAGATTGTTAAACACTTGAGAGCTAGGATCTCTTCTTAAAGCCCTCCAATGGTTTTGTATCGCAAATGAAATGAAATCCAAGGTCCTCAAAATGTCCTCCAGGGCCCTACATAATCTGATGTCTACTTCATCTCCGAGTTCATCTCCTACCACCCTCCTTGGTTCAGCCACACTGACTTCCTTTCCATTCTTGAAATACATCAAGCTCTCTGTTTTCTCAGGGCCTTTGCACTTGTTTCTTCTATCTGGAATCTCTTGCCCCAGGTCTTTGCATGACTTACTCTTCATGCTTCCAGTCTCAGCTGAAATGTCATCTTTGCAGAGAGAGGTCCTCCTGGGCCACCTGAGCTAAAAGTGGCCCTGGCCTCTCTGTGGTCTCTTGTACTCTTTTCCTCATTATCTGCCTATGTATCTGTCTGTGCATCTATCTATGTATCTACCTATCTGTGTATTTATCAGTCATCTATCTGTGTCTGTCTATCGTCTATGTATCCATCTATTCACTTATTTACTTATTTATTTAGTTTCGAGTAATTTATCTTGATTTGACATTTAATTGTTTATATTTTTATGTCTGTCTCTTCCCTCTAGACTGCAAACTCCTTGAAGGTAGGAATTTTGTATCTAATTATAGATAAATTATCTCTATTTAAAAATCCTCTTATATTCATTAAGTTAAGGGAAACACGAGTTTAAAATCTACAATATCATATAGTATTTTCCCCTTATCTGCAGGGGCTACCTTCCAAGACCTCCACAGTAGATGCTTGAAACTGCATATAGTACTGAATCTTATATATACTTAAAGTTTTTTCCTATATGTACATACCTATGATAAAGTTTAATTAATAGATTAGCCACAGTAAGAGATTAACAACAATAACTAATATTAAAATAGGATACATAACAGTATTCTAGCATCACTACTATTGTACTTTGGGGCCAGTATTAAGTAAAATAAGGATGACTTGAATACAAGCCCTGTAATACAATGTACAGTCGATCTGATAACTGAGATGGCCACCAAGTGACTAAGTGGCGGGGTGGGGGGTAGTACAGAGTGTGGATACCTTGGACAAAGGAATGATTCATGTCCTGGGTGGGACAGAGTGGGATGGTGTGAGATTTCATTATGCTACTCAGAACAGCATGCAATTTAAAACTTATGAGTTGTTTGTTTCTGGAATTTTCCATTTCATATTTTTGGACCTCAGATGACCATGCGTAACTGAAACCATGGAAAGCAACATTGTGAATAAGGGAGGACTACCATAATATTAAAATATTAAAATTTAGTTAGGTTTAGAGCTATACTTATCAATGTAGAAGTTCCATGTAGCTCCTTGGAGCCTCAGTCTTTTACCCAATCAGAGCAGTGAAAATCTCATAAATCATAGAGGATGCAACATAAAAGGTATATTTTTGATTTTTAGTTTGCTTCTTTTTTTTTTTTCATCTGGCAGGAAAATAGTTGAGACTTTTGACAGTCTGGGAATTTAAAACGTTTTTGGAAAAATAGAGATTTGCATCGCCCAGGAGTGCACTGTTCATTTCTAGCTTCTGGTGTCTCCTTTGAGGATGGTGCTGCACAGGCCCTCAGGGTACATTTTGGATCCATGGTCCAGAGAATTCTTCTCTGAGGCAGGTTCCTTTCCTATCATCATGTCTTTCCGTTAGGAAATCTGAAAGCTAGGAGAACATCTTTCAATGCTAACAGCCCTTGCTCACAAAGGAATGCCAGATGTTGTCTGGTGACTTTTTAAATGAATATCCAGCCTTCAAGCTATTCAACTGATTAGTGCTTGCTTCTAAACTGTTGAGTTAAAATTTTTCCAGACTGCAAGCTCTTAAGTTTGAATGTATTCCTCATAGAGCCAGGTAAGGAACAATTGTTTATGTGAATATAAATATTCAATAATATGTAAAAATATATCAGTTATCACTAATATTCAAGGAAATGCCAAGAAAAGGAGATGTTTTCACTTATTGACATGGCAAAGGTTAAAAAAATAAAAGTACTCTTTGCTAGTGGGATGTCAAAGAAAGGATACATCCACACAGTGATAGTGGGAATATAAACTGATATAAATGTTTTTGGAAAGTAACTACATCATGTGGAAATTATCAGGTGCAGAAAAAGATTTATTTCAAGGGCATTAATTGTAATATTACTCACAGTGGTAAAAGTTGGAGACAACCTACATTTCTCAATATGGTGACACAGTTAAATGGATTATCAGGCACTCAAAGAATAAAATATTAAGCAACTGTTAAAATATTGTTTAAAAATAATACTTATTGGCCAGGTGTTATGGTTCACACCTGTAATCCCAGCACTTTGGGAAGCCAAGGTGGGAGGATCACTTGAGGCCAGGAGTTCAAGACCAGCCTGGGCAGCATAGCAAGATCCCATCTCTATCAAAAGAAAAAAAAATAAGGTGGCATGGTGGCACACCTGTAGTCCTAGCTACTTAGAAGGCTGACACAGGAGGATTGCTTGAGCCCAGGAGTTTGAGGCTGCAGTGAGCTGTGATTTACACACCACTTACTCCAGTTTGGGTCATAGAGCAAGACCTTGTCTCCAAAAAGGTAATGTGTAATTACATGAGAAATTACTCAGGATAAATTAAAACAACTACAGCAATAAAAAATATGATTTAATTTTATTCTCTTCTAAAGGCAGTATGGTAAAATGTTAAAAATGGGGAATCTATGAGTGGTGGGATTAGGAATGATATCTATTAGATTGGTGCAAGAGTAATTGCAATTAAAATTGCAAAAAACCACAGTTACTCTTGCACCAACCTAATATTTTTATCTTTTCTGTGGTCAGGATCTATTCCTTTAAAATCAGAAAAGAATTATGTAACTAAAACCCCAAACAAAACACAGAAGCTCCCAGAATAACGTGCATGCTCCTGTTCCTGATCATGCAGAAATATCCTCGGTTTTTGTAGTTATGCTTCTACGCATCTCCGTTACGGTGAACTGTTTTAGGGTCTGTAGCCTCCACTGAATTAGATTTGCCTAAATTATCATTAGCTTTCTTTCCACTTTGGAGATACAATTTTTTAGGCCTAGGGAAAGCTCTTACTTGGTTACAGAATCAGCTTTAAAACAGCAGAATCGAATCACCAGGAGCCAAGAGGCAGGATTCTCCCAGTTGCTACACAAAGCTCGAGCCAACATCTTTACTGGAAAGATGGAATCTGCCCCTGAAGCAAAGACCTCAGTTTCGTGACATTGGTTTCTAATAGCTTGGTTTTC
The DNA here is from genome assembly GCF_000001405.40 of Homo sapiens. Lineage (NCBI taxonomy): Eukaryota > Metazoa > Chordata > Mammalia > Primates > Hominidae > Homo > Homo sapiens. The sequence goes on from NC_000003.12 coordinate 170,542,283, forward strand.
TTTCTCCTCTCATTGACTCTCCCAGAGGCAACTAATTGTGTTAATTTCATGGACTGTCCTAAGAATTCTAAGTATCCTCAACAGGTCCATCTCACAAAACTAGCAAGTAAAAGCACCCACCGGCACCAGGCCACTCTATAGCTACTCTCTCCTGGACTGTGTCTGCTCTCTCACAGCTTGTCAACCATTGGCCTTCCCCATTCTGCCTCTTGCATGTCCCTTGCCACTACAGCTCCTTTTGCTGAGGTCATCAACAGCTACCATTTTGCTAAATCCAATGAACATATTTCAAGCCTTCATCTCTCTCACTTGGCCCATCTCAAGCACTCAGTGTTGTTCAAGTCCTCCTTCTTAAAAAGATTTGGATTTCGTCTCACAACAGTGAAAGCCGTGGGTTGTGTGTGCATGTCCACATGCAAGGTTGACGGTGACCTCATATCATTCTTTTAGGAATAAGCTATTCTGATTTTTTCTTCTTTAGTATAAGAAGATTTCAAAAGATCTTCGGAAGGACATGTCCTTTAGAAGATTTTTAATGCTGCTACATTTTCAGTCCTTAACGTGGTTTCTACTACTAGATGAAATCACAGAGTGATATTTAGATGTGAGTATGCAGAGGACAGTGTGAGTCATCATCAAGAATCCAGTTTGCCATGATGCCTAGAATCTCTTTGCTGAAAGAGTGATCTAGAAGGGGAAAGAGGTTTAACCTGAAAAAGAAATGGGAAACTCTGCTTGACAAACCTGAACAAGAATAAAAATATTCCTTAAAGCAGAGGGCTAGATGGTTTATAAACTTTCAGGTCTATCTGGACTGTTGGGTCATCTTTGCTCTTTGAGTCACGTGTGGGGTTGACCTGTCTGAGACAGTCACTCTCTCAGATCTGAAGCTCAGGTTGATGACATAAAATCCCTGTGCCAAGCCAGGCTGCTGGACCTGCTACTATTGTTTTATGCCTCCTCCGGAAGAGAGGGCCAAGATGCCTAGTGTCTCGAACCAGCCCAAGGAGAGGCCATTTTACTATGCTCTGCGTTAAAGAGATCCATGAGGTCACGGTCCCTCTGTCTTTAAGAAGCACAGTCTCCACCGGGTGCAGTGGCTTACTCCTGTAATCCCAGCACTTTGGGAGGCTGAGGTGGGCAGGTCACCTGAGGTTGGGAGTTTGAGACCAGCCTGACCAACATGGAGAAACCCAGTCTCTACTAAAAATACAAAATTAGCTGGGAGTGGTGGCGCATGCTTGTAATCCCAGCTACTCGGGAGGCTGAGGCAGGAGAATCGCTTGAACCCCAGAGGTTGTAGTGAGCCGAGATCGCCCCATTGCACTCCAGCCTGGGCAACAAGAGTGAAACTCCATCTCAAAAGAAAAAAAACAAAAACAAAAACAAAAAGAACCACAGTCTCTCCAGGACCAAGAGGGTTGGGAAAGGGGATGGGCTAAACTGCATTTTCTTTCTTTCTTTCTTTCTTTTTTTTTTTTTTTTGAGATGGAGTCTTGCTCTGTTGCCCAGGCTGGAGTGCAGTGGTGTGATCTCTGCTCACCACAATCTCCACCTCCTGGGTTCAAGTGATTCTCTTGCCTCAGCCTCCCAAGTAGCTGGGACTACAGGCATGTGCCACCATGCCTGGCTAATTTTTGTATTTTTAGTAGAGACAGGGTTTCACTATGTTGGCCTGGCTGGTCTCGAACTCCTGACCTTGTGATCCACCCGCCTCAGTCCTGCAAAGTGCTGGGATTACAGGCATGAGCCACCACACCCGGGCCTGCATTTTCTATTTAGACATCTGAAGAGTATTTTAATAAATAAGCCTCCACATTCGGAGCCTAGTATTGAGCGTGCTTAATTTGTATTGCCTGTCATAGGTGAGAGTTGGTAGATCCTCCCTGCCTGTGATTTGGGTCTGGCCAGGGTCCCCATTCTATTCACTTAGTGAGAAATCTCCAAATAAAAAGGGGTGAACTCCTCTCGGGACACATTACAGGACTGAAAGAGCCTCATTTTTCTGAACTCTGGGTGTCACTCTGTTGCAAGCAGAAAAAAGGTAAAATAGACACACACACACAGACACACACACAAAAGAGAAGAGCCTCTTTTTGGGAGGCTAAAAACTGAGAGATTAAAAGGCTATATATCTGAGATCCAAATTATAGTGCTTAAACAAGCCTAGATAATCCTCGCCTAAATAACAGTGTCACTTATATGATGCTTACTATGTACCTGCCATGATTTTAACTGATTTATATGCAGTTCTTGATTTATGATAAGGTACCTGATAAACCCATCATAAGTTTAAAATGTCCCAAGTTGAAAGTACATGACTGACTGGGACCTGTGGCTCACAGCCACTTCCCAGCATTGTAGGAGAAGTATGGTTTCTACTGAATGTGTATCATGTCTGCACCATAAAAGTGGAAATGTCATTAAGTAGAACCATCTTAAGTTAGGGCTGTCTGTATATTCTAACAACAACCCTGTGAGAGAGATACTATTTTTAACCACTCCCAAGGTAAAGATGAGGAAACTGAGGCACAGAGCAGTTAACATTTGTTAAAAGTGACACAGCTGCTGTCAGAGCTGGCACATGACTCCATTCAGAGCAGATTAGGGACTGGACTGTAGGGCAGCACTGTCTAGTAGACATTCTGTGATGATGAAAATATTTTCTGTGCGGTCTAATACAGTGGCCACTAGCTACATGTGGCTATTGAACACTTGAAATGTGTCTAGTGCAACTGAAGAACTGAATTTTACATTTAAATTTAATTTTAATTAATTTGAATTTAAATAGTCACATGTGGCCAGTGGCTATTATACTGTACAGCATAGCTGCAGAGTCTGCGCTTCATAAATTTTAGAAACAACACCAGAAAGGTGTGGTATCCTTTACAGAAGAGGACATTGGGTGTCAGGCTAGCTGGAGAATTTATCCAAGTCTCTGAAGCTAGCATTGGAAGAGCCAGGATGCCAGCTTCCGTGGCCATGTGCTCTGGTCACCAGCAGTGAACGCCTCCCCCAACCCCTCTGCCATCTACTCTTGGCTCTTCATCTCTTTCCAAATTGGATCTGAAAGCCTATCTTTTCTCCTTCACCCTTATCCAGAGTCTTTTTCCCTTCCTCTATTATTAATGTAGTAACAGGAGAACAGTGGTTGGTGATGAACATCATGCTACATGTGTGGATGATGTGGGCTGTCCCTGTAGAGTTTAATTGGCCAAATTGGAAGAGCTTAACTTGGTATCAAGCATATACTCATTCTTAACATCCTTAAGACCTTATCCCAAACTACTCTTTGCTGTCTCTTTCTTCCTATTATTTTTCCCTCCACCCTACCCTGGTTCTCCCATCACTGGTAACAAAACATATGCCATATAAACAAAAGTGCCTTTGGCTAAAGGTCCTAAAGTTATAGCCACCTCAATCTTTGCTATTTAATTTTAAGTCTTCTTCTCCTGCCAAGAAAACTTTTCAATTAGGTTCACATTAGCTGATATTATTATTAAAGAAAAGATATTTAATTATTTATGGCTTGGGAGACTGTCACTTTTTCCTAAGCACAGTTTTGAATAAACCAACTTTATGTTAACTCATAGTAAGCTGAGCACAGTGCCTTGTGGCCAGCAGCCTCCCAAAAACTGTTAACATTTTATGGAGTTGCCTTCCTCTGCTGCCCTTTAATGACTTAGGACTTATCTGAGCAGGAAACCCTGCTTTAACCACTGGACATGAACAAAGAAAACAGAAGTGTATCTAACCAAGAAAAACCAAATTGAAATACTGGTCTACCAGGCAATCCTTTTTGGCATTAGAAGAGAAGAAATTCTGTTACTTTGTCAGCTAGCAGGCTGCCCATCTAATCACAAATGGTGATCTTATCTCAGCTGGAGATGAAGACTCACCCAGCTCTCAGACAGAAGCAGACAGAATCTAATGTTACCTGGTGGAGAGGAGCACACCAGGATTTCCAGTGACCTGGAAAGTAGGAGTCTGTTGGAAAGCAGGTTGATAAATGACTGAGGGGAACTTTTTTTAGGACAGTGAAAACTATGCAGAGAAAGGGCATTTGTGTTGGGGTCTCCTTGATGCTTCCAATTTCCCTGTGACACACCCTGGACTTGGTAGGTCTCAATGGTGATTGACCCATGCCAGTAAAGCCAACCTGCTGGTACTTAAACTATCCAGAACCTTGATATAGTGTTTCCATTTCCACTGACTTGTTTAACGGGAAAAAGTTTATATGGTGGTATGAACAGAGAAGGAGAAAGAGATAAGAAGGAATTTTATAATTTCTCAAGATATGAAACCTAGCATTGTACTTTTAAACAGAAGTTCTTCCTGCTCCCAAACAATCAGATCTCCAAGCTGCCTCCTGGAGTAATCCCACTGTCAACCCATGCTGGTCCCCTGTGCTCCGACTTTCAGAGCAACTGAGGGGAGGCCCTTCATACTGATGGACAGCTTGCCTTAGAGGGTGATTTGATCAGTCTTTCACGTCTCCAGTTATTTTTTTTCTCCCTACAGGGTGCACTTGAATTGGTATTGTTGGTGAGAGCTGTGGCACCGTGAACAACATCACATGCAGGTAGATGATGGACAGGTCTTCTTGGTCTGTCAGGCCAGTCTCCAAGGGCTCACAGCCCTTATACACATTAGAATCACCTGGGGAGCTTTTAAAAATAATAATGTCCAGCCATATTTCCAAGAGATTTATATTGAATTGGTCTGAGTGGGAACCTGGCATCAGAGACATCAGAAGCCTTCCCAGGTGATTCTAATGTGCAGCCATGGCTGGGTCTACCTGGATGGAGATGTAAGATTGTCAAGACACCATACCCCTTCCCCTCTTTCCCTTCCTTCTTCTCCTTTTCCTCTCTCTTCCTTTTCATTCTCTTCACTGTGTCCTGCAGATTCTATGAGCCAAATAGAGTAGTTTCCACCTTCTGAAGTGGAGGGTTTTGTTTTCTTTTATGAAAAGAAAATATTTTTTATCTCCTATAAACAAAAAATATATACCAATTGTAAATAAAGTCGACCCTTGAACAACACTGGGGCTAGGGGTGCCAACCCCTGTGCAGCCTAAAATCTGCATATAACTTTTGACTCTCCAAAAACTTAACTACTAATAGCCTACTGTTGACCAGAAGCCTTACCAACACCATAAATGGTCAACACATATTTTGTATGTCATATATATTATATACTGTATTCTTACAATAAAATAAGCTAGAGAAGAAAATGTAATTATTAAGAAAATAATAAGAAATAGAAAATATATTTTCTATTCAGTGAAAGTGGATCATCATAAATATTTTCATCTTCATAGTCTTTGTGTTGAGTAGTCTGAGGAGGAGGAGGAAGAGGAGGGGTTGGTCTTACTCTCTCAGGGGTAGCAAAGGTGGAAGAGGTGAAGGAGGTGGAAGAAATACATATCACAAAACTGAGATATTATTTTATGACCTTTTTAAAACCTAATGTATCAGCGATATCACATATCCAAGAGAGTATATGTCATCTGTGTCATCTTAAAGAGCTGCAGGATTGTTCATTTTATGTACAACGATGGTTTAATTGCCTTTTAATGGAAATTGAAGCTATTCTCATTATTTTTTTCTCATAAGCAATGCTACGGTGGACATATATTTTGCAGACCTGCCTATGTAATTCCTTAGGCTAAGCTCCTTGGAGGGGAGTTACCAAGTTAATGGGCATGCATGTTTTATGTTCTAGTGCCCTTTGCCAGACTGCCCTCTCAAAAGATTGTGCCAGTTTCACCACTCTTCAGTAGAATATGTCTTTGCCCATTTCCATATGAAGAAGTATTAATTTTTCATCAATCTTGGTAATCTTTGAATTTGGCAGCTCCCACAAAATAAAAATACATTTGTGCAATATGATTTAAGCTACATTTACCAAGTGCCTTATATGTGCTGGGAGCTAAGGATACCAGAACAGATAAGCCAGGACTCTTCCTTCAAGGTTCTTTCAATTCTCCTACCCAGTGCTTCTAGGTATTTTAACAGACATTAAAAAAAAAATCACTGGAAGTGGAGCCTGTGGCTTAAATAAATAAACACAAACCCACCTGGGAATCTTGTGAAAATGCAGTTTCTGCCTCCTTAGGTCTAGAATGGGGCCTGAGATTCTACTAAGAAGCTTCCAGAAGATGCCTCTACCTGTGCTGCAGTTGGTTTGCATCTAGCAGTGAGGCTCTGCCCCACCTCTGGGTCTTCACAGTAGCTGCTGCTTCTGTTTTATTCTTCCCCACTCTTTGCCTAGCTTAGTTGTTCCCATGCCTGGCTGCACTTGAGAATCAACTGGGAAACTTAACAAAATAAAAGCACAGATGCAGCTCCTCAGGCTCTTTCATGGAGCTTCTGAGTCCACATCTCTGGGAGTGGAATTCAAGAATCAGTATTTTAAAGAAAACCGTTAGACCATATTTTTGCAATTCCTGGTTAGGCTGCTCTGACTAACCCTTCAGGTCTCACTCTGAGCATCACTTCTCATCTGTGAATGAGTTTAGATCCTATGTCACCACTATAAACTTTTATTATAGCACTCTGCACTTTTCCTTTGGAGCACGTTATGTAATAAATTAATTAATTGTGTCATTATTCATTAGAGTCTGTGTCTCTTTTAGTTTCTGAGTTCCATGAAGGCAGAGTGTGTCTGTTGTGGGCACTGTAGTGTCCCTGATACCAAGTCAGGATCTGCTGGTAAGTAGGTGGCACTTGGGACATAGAAATAAATAAATGAATAGACATAAAACACTATAAATATTTTCACATTTGATTATCATGAGTCTGTAAGACAGGAAATGTAGGCATTAATATCCTCATCTTACAGACACAAAAAGAGAGGTTTGGAGAGAGAGAAAGTGACTAGTTCAATATAATACAGGCTGAATCCAGACTGGGACACCGGCCTTCTTCTTTTTTTTTTTTTTTTTTTGAGACGGAGTCTTGCTCTGTTGCCAGACTAGAGTGCAGTGGCACGATCTTGGCTCACTGCAACCGCTGCCTCCCGGGTTCAAGCAATTCCCTTTCCTCAGCCTCCTGAGTAGCTGGGACTACAGGCGCGCACCACCACACCTGGCTAACATTTTGTATTTTTGTAGAGACAGGGTTTCACCATGTTGGCCAGGATGGTCTCAATCTCCCGACCTTGTGATTGCACCCGCCTCGGCCTCCCAAAGTGCTGGGATTACAGACGTGAGCCACCACGCCCAGCCTTTTGAATGGTGGGCCAATCCCCTCTCTGCAATCCAGGCTGCTCCTCTATAGCTCTTATATAAGCCCAAGCTGAGGAAGTTTGTTTAAATATCGCCAGTGTGACACTTATGACCGCAGAAATTAAAAATGCTAACAGTTAGAGCTACCCGATGCCCTGGGGAGAGGCACTTTGCTTGAACAGTGACACGAAGATTGCATCCTTTGAGAATAAACAATGGTTCCCCAGGTCACCTCCACATTTTACTTTTTTAACATAAGCAGGGGAGAAAACATATCTAGATCAATCAGCTAAAAATCACCTCTCAAACCATGGAGGCATGGGGAAACTGAATGACAGTGAGGATGGAAAGCAATTTAAACTCTTTACAAGTAAATCTTTATAATTCCAGGGGCAGAGGTCTGATGGGTGAAAGCTTTAGTCTAGGGAAATGCCAAAAGCTGTGGCTGCTGTGGTTTTATCTGTTTGTAATTTTATGTGCAGAGGGGAAAAGAGGAAGACCCTGAGCTATAATTAAATGATGGTTGTGATTGGACATGTGTGTGTAATGAAGGGTTGACCTGAAAATAAGTCAGTGGTCCTCAATTCTATTAGCCTTAATGCCACCTTTTTAACAGCACACGTTGCATTATAAATGTGATGGGGCATTCTGCCCATTTCTAAGCTGAAATGAAGTTCATAGATAATATAACCAACCCACAAACATTATTCAAGAAAAATCAATATAGTGCACTTACTATAATATGAAGAAGAACTAGAAGGCAATTAATTTGTAGTAAAAAATACTCTTTAAGCTGTAAATGCACAAGAATGATATAATGAAATACTTAAACTTGCATCTATGCATAGAGTCACTGAGATCTCAATAGCCATAAACCGTAAAGTGTGGGTGTTGGTGATTCAAATACTACTGCACAGGGTTTGTGGTGAAGTGGTTTTTTGAAATGGTAAACGACTCTTGTAATCTTTCAAACTAAACCTAATGCCATCTTTCCTTGAATTTTTTTTTTTTTTTTTTTTTTTTTGGTGACAGAGTTTCGCTTTTGTCGCCCAGGCTGGAGTGCAATGGTGTGATCTCGGCTCACTGCAACCTCCGCCTCCCAGGTTCAAGCAATTCTCCTGCCTCAGCCTCCTGAGTAGCTGGGATTACAGGTTCCTGCCACCATGCCTGAATAATTTTTATATTTTTAGTAGAGACGGGGTTTCACCATGTTGGCCAGGCTGGTCTCGAACTCCTGACCTCAGGTGATCTGCCTGCCTAGGCCTCCCAAAGTGCTGGGATTACAGGCATGAGACACCGCGCCCAACCATCTTTCCTTGATTTGTATATTGGTTGCCTTTCTGAAAAATTCAGCACATATATTTTTTAAAAGCGAAGTGTAATCCACATACTATAAAATTCATCCTTTTAAAGTATATATTTCAGTGTTTTTTTAGTACAGTATATTCACAGAATTGTGAAACTATCACACTGATTTAATTTTAGAACATTGTAATTACCCCCTCAAAAATCCCATACCCATGAGCAGTTACTCTCCATTGCTCCTCCCCCAACTCCTGGTAACCACTAATCTACTTTCTTTCTTTATGGATTTGCCTATGTTGGACATTTCACATAAATTCAGTAATATTATATGTGGCCTTTTGTATCTGGCTTCTTTCACTTATCATAACGTTGTCAAAGTTCATCCATGTTGTATCACATATCAGAACTTCATTTCTGTTTTATGGCTGAATAATATCCCATTATATGGCTATACCATATTTTGTTCACTCATTCATAGTATTCAGTTGATACCATTTGGATTGTTTCCACTTTTTGGATATTATGAATAATGTTGCTGTGAGCATTCGTGTACAGATTTTTGTGTGGACATTCGTTTTCAGGTCTCTTGGATACATACTGGGAGTGGAAGTGCTGTGTCATATGGCATCTCAATGTTTAACATTTTCAGGAACTGCTGGACTGTGTTCCAAGACAGCAGCACCACTTTGCATTCCCACCAGCAATGGATGATTTCAGTTTCTCTACATCTTCCTCAATATGTGTTATTGTTAATCTTTTTAAAATTACAACCATCCTAAAGGGTGTGAAGTTGTATCTCATTGTGGTTTTACTTTTATTTCCCTAATGACTAAAGATCTTGAGCATCTTTATCGGCCATTTGTACATACCTTTGAAGAAATATCTATTCAAATCATTTGCCCATTAAAAATGGGTTATTTCTCTTTTTATTGTTGAGTCATAAGATTCTTTATATATTCTGGATTCTAAATCCTTCTCAGATATATGTGTTGCAATATAAACCATTCTGTGCTTTTCCTTTTCACTTTCTTAAAGATTTCATTCTTTTCACTTTCTTAAAGGTTTCATTTGAAGTGCAAAAGTTTTTTGGATTTGAAGTAGTCTAATTTATCTATTTTTCCTTTTATTGTTTATGCTTTTGATATCATATCTAAAAAACGTATTGCCTAATCCAAAATTACAAAGACTTATGACTATATTTTCTTCCAAGAATTTTATTGTTTTAGCTCTTATGTTTTGGTCTTTAATCCATTCTGAGTTAATTTTTGAATAACAACTGAGGTAAGGGTCCACCTTCATTCTTTATCATGTGTGTATCTAGTGGACTCAGCACCATTTGTTGAAAATACTGATCTTTTCCCTACTGAATTGTGTTGGTGTCAAGACAATTGGTGTCTTAGTGTCAAGACAATTCAATAGGAAAAATAAGAGTCTAGAGATACACTCTTACATTAATAAGTTTAATAAAACTTAAAACAAAATTAAGAGTCCAGAAATACACCCTCACATTGTTGGGCATTGAGATCAGTTGCCTAACAATGTAAGGATGTATTTGTGGACTCTTAATTTTATTCCATTGATCTACATATCAATCTTTATAGCACATATAAAATTTATACATAGTACTTTATGTTTATATGCAAAATGGTATTGTGTTCTGGGATGCTGAGATCATTATTAACAGGTTTTTGACCTGTGTGATTGTCTGGTTGTATATTTGAAAGCGAATTCTTCCTCATATGTGACCGTGCTGCCCATTGCAGTACATCTAACATTATTAGCCTCTGACAACTAAATGACACTGTGTCCCCCAACTGTTTTGACAGTCAAGACATCTCAAAAATTTCTAGAACATTGCTTAGGAGGCAATACCACACCCATTGAGAGCTTCTTTTCTAAAGTTATCTTCTGCATCCTTTTGCCTGTTTTCTTCTCTGCCTTTTCTAGCCCATGTCCCACATGGTTAAAATAGGAAACTGTCCAGGTTATTCCTTGCTTGAAAGCTTTCGATGACTCTTTATGGTCTGTAATATGAAGTTCAAACTTCTCAACATGACTTATCAGCTTGATCACCTTCCAAATCCTTTTCCTACATTCCACCTAGCCTGTGAGATTATTGATCTCCACATGCACTGCCCCTCTACCAGGTATACCTACAGCTCTTTGAAAATCACATTCATCCTTTGGAACTAGCTGCATCAGCTCCTGCAAAAGCCTTGCTGTTCTTCTATTCAGCTAGTTGTGCCCTGCCTTGAGCTCCCCAAAGTGCCTTTTGGGGGGAGTTTCATTCCGGCATTTATCATTCTGAAACACAAGAGCTGGATTCTCTTTCTGCCACTGGCTGTAAGTGCCCTGTCTTGTTCATCTTGGCATCCCTGGCTCTACCTCAATCCCAAGCACAGTGCCTAGCATATCATTAAGGTCAGTAAATTTTGGTCGAAAGAGTGAATCTTCAGTATTGCCATATGTTCTTACACCTTAGGAAACTAACTGTTCTAGTTCTTCTGAGACATTGATTAGTCTTGCAGCTCATAAAGATGTATTACCATTTGTTTATATACTACATATGCCCTTATTTGAGATGATAGGCAATCTGTACGTGTAATTTTAGGGAGTAAGGGAAACTCCCAGTTCAAAACAGTAACATTGTCATCATCGTCGTCATCATCATCATCATCATTGCAACAATAGAAAGCCTGCCAAATAGCAAGAATTCTTTAATGGGGCAAAGCTTTTTTGTCCAAAAGGAAAGAGACAGTTTAAAACTCAAATATCCCATGTGAGATGTTCAAGGATGATGGAAATGTCCGGTGGAGGATGAGCTGAGGCTATGAACAGTTGAAGAAGTCCTAGGACCTAAAAGGAGCCATAGTGCAGGGGCTTCTGAAATGAGAACAGGTGGGAGAATAGATTTGTCTGAATTGCAGCTGCTATGTTTAAGCGACTTGCTTGCCAATATTGGAACTAGAGTCAACCATAAACACAAATGCTCCCATTGCAGCTCTGGTGCCCCAGCCACCGTTAAAAAAACTTTTTTTTTTTTTGGCATGGTTTGACATTTTAATATTATCTTTTTTTTCTCTTTCCAAAATTAATACACATTAATTGGAAAAGTCTTGAGAAACATGGCTAAATAGAAAGAAGCAGTACCCATTACCATGAATTCCACTGCCTACAGATGGCACTATGAATATATCATTGTGCATATTTCCAGTAGCTTTGTTTCTCTCCGTATTTTTAAGACCTCCTTGGTGTGACTCTGATAGTCAGTTGTTAAGGAAAACTGCAAATTCCAGAGCTAAAAAAGAAAAAAAAATGGGCAAGAGCAAGAAGAGGATGAAAACAATAAATGTTGAGACATTTGCCAGCTCTTCTTTTCTGTCCGGGAACCATGCTGGGCATGGCTAGGAGTGATTAGAGTATTGATACTATTACATCTTCCACTGCACAGCCATGATGTCAGTAATGCAATTCAGAATGACCAGAATGAAATTAACCATGAGTCAGATGGCAGCTCCTGGCTTCTTAAGCTAAGGAGAAATAGTTCTTGTAGGAGGTTTATTAATTCACATTTTGTCTTCCATGCCTATGTTTCATTTATTTAGTACAAAGTCTCAGGGGCCATGTGGAAATTGCACTGTAACTGATGTTCAGCATTTCCTTTTCCCAGCTGGGTGGCTTCTCCTTCATCTCCACAAAGAGCCAGCACTAGGCCTTTGTGACACAGTCCCTTTCTCTCTCCCCACAGCATTCACCTGCTTCAGCCTTCATGAGCCACCAGCTGCCCTGACCACTGCAGTCACAGCCTGATTGGCCTCTGCTTTCAGTCCCTTCCTCCCTATTCTCTGCCCCACGGCAGATGTTCCTCCTAAAGCCCAACTGTGGTTATTATCTCTTTGCTCAGGAGCCTTCAACAACACCCTGATGCAAAAAGAATGAAGTTTATATCCTTAGGTTATTTGCCCTCATCTATTTTTCCTTACTTATAGTCCCTTACTTGAAGATGGTGCCAGTGGAAAGTAATCTGTGAAGAGGTTGCCAAGCACTTTTAAAAAAATATTGCTTGTGGGACGGGCGCGGTGGCTCACGCCTGTAATCCCAGCACTTTGGGAGGCCGAGGTGGGCAGATCATCAGGTCAGGAGTTCAAGACCAGCCTGGCCAGCATGGTGAAACCCCATCTCTACTAAAAACACAAAAAATTAGCCGGGCATGGTGGTGCACACCTGTAATCCCAGTTACTCGGGAGGCTCAGGCAGGAGAATTGCTTGGACCTGGGAAGCGGAGGTTGCAGTGAGCCAAGATCACACCACTGCACTTCAGCCTGGGCAACAGAGCAAGACTTTGTCTCAAAAAAAATATATATATATATAATATATATATTGCTTGTTTAGCTAATTATGAAAGTTATACATGCTCATTGTGGACAATTTGGGAAATACAGGGAGTGTGAAGAAGAAAATAATAATCACCCATATTCCACTCCCTAGAATTGGCCACTGTTAACATTTTGGTTGAAAATGGTCTGAAATTATGTTCAATCTGTATATACAATATTGTATCCTGCTGTTTTCACTTATCATTATATTAAGAACATTTGTTCAGATGATTAAAATATTCTTATAAAATATGATTTGAATGGTTGTTCAACATTCCACTATATCCAGTCATGCATTACATAATGATGGGGCTATGCTTGAGAAGGACTTCCCTAGGCAATTTCATCACTGTGCAAGCCTCATAGAGTGTACCCACACAAACCCAGATGGTACAGCCTACTACACACCTAGGCTACATGGTATCGCCTGTTGCTCCTAGGCTATAAACCTGTACAGCATGTGACTATACTAATACTGGAGGCAATGGGAACAGAGTGGTAAGGATTTGTGTATCTAAATGTAGAAAAGTTACAGTAAAAATATAGTATTATAATCTTATGGGACCACGGTTGTATATGTAGTTTGTTGACTCAAACACCATTATATAGCACATGACTATAGTGACATAATTGATGTAATTATCCATGTTGATATTGTTAGACATTTAGTTTTCTATCAAATTTTTCTATTATAAATAATACTACAGTGAACTTGTTTGCATGTAAATCTGACAACATCTTTGATGTTTGCTTAGAAGAGATTCCTAGAAGATGGTGCCTTACAACTCTTCTGCTCATTACTTTAACAATTGGCATAGTTTCTTTATCTCCCCTACTAAATGTGCAATCTGGCACAAAGTTCTGCCCATAGTGGGTGTACCACAAATGTTGGTTGTACTAAAATATGGTTTACCTCCCTGGGCTTCAGTTTCTTCTTTTGTAAAATGAAGGTGTTGAATTATATCATCTTTTTGCAATGAGATGCTATGGTTTTTGTACTTTCAGACCTTAGCTAACATGTATCTAAGATATGATACTCATAAATAGTTGTGATCCCAGCCCATTTCTTATATGGCAAATTCATTTTCTGTGGGGCTTATAATGGCCTGTAACCTGGATAAAGACTGGGGTCTCGCTGTCCAGAGGCAATATGGCAAAGTGGGAAGTCTTTGGCTTTAGCTTTGGCTTTAATTTCTTCTGTGCAAACTTGGGCAAGTATCTTAGCCTTTCTAAATTTCAGATCTTCTGTAAATACCATTAATCATGTCTACTTTGCAGGTTTTGTGGGAGGACTAAATGGGATGATATGTGTAGGGCTCCTTGTAATAATAGTAGGGTTTTTAATGGTCACAGCTATTATTGTAAGGTATATCTCAGTAAATCACTTAGGCCTCATGTGGCCTGGATGACAACAAAAAAGTTGGATGTGCAGGGTTTTTCTTTGAGGAGGGCACTAATACTCTTTTTCAACATCAGCACAGAGAACATTGAGTTGCTGTAAAAGCCTGTTTTCTACATGTGTATTTTATTAGCAGAATCTCAACCCAGGCCCTATTTAGGCATTCCTCAGAAAATCTAGAGGAACTAGGTATTGATTTTTGCCTACCATAGACAGACACAGACACACTGAAGGAAGCCACTTCATTGGTTTTTTCATGTGAATTATTTCAAGATCTACGTTATTCTCACTGAAATATGGCCTACCAGGCTATCTCCCACTCTCATCACAACCTTTGTAACAGAAGTAATAATAAATGGATGAATGGGAGTCTCATTTAAAAAGTGGTGCGCATGAGGCTTTTCTGGTCCCTCAAAGATTTCTTTTCTCTTGCACCCATTTCTCAGTCCTAATCAGTCAGAGGGCAGATCAGAGTTCTCAGAGTCTGTTCTTTCCCATGGCTTCCAGGTGGGTTATGATGCACAGTTCTCCTACTGAGTGTATTGTGTGGTAGCTTCCTGCCTTATTGATTTATTTATTTTTGGATAAATTGGTTGGTCTTCTTATTGGGTATAGGCCATCCAGGACTTTCTAACAGGATGCATTATGGGGATCCATTCGTAAGGCCATCCTTTGGAATGTGGAGCCCATTTTTTTTTTTCAGAAACCTCACAGCAATGGGCAGTTCTGCTGCCCAGCCGAGCCTGGTCTCCAGAAAGCAAGGTGGGAAATCGGAGTTGTCCAATTTTGTTACCTAGAGAGGTTCAATTCCATTCGTCAAACTCTTAATAAATACTGATTCTGTGTCAGGTGCTGTGCTGGAGCAGGAGATAAAAGGGAAGAGGTTCCTGCCCTCAGGGATCTCATAGTCAGTTGCTTTTAGCTTGTGAAGTGAAAATATCTTTGAATTGGAAGATGTGGACTGACCGGAAGGAAGTTGTATGACCTAGTGTATAAGAGTGGAGACCTGGCATCCAAACCTTGGTTCAAATCGCAGCTCTTTCACTGACCAGCTGTGCGATCTTGTTACTTGAGCTTTCCACATCTCAGTTTCATTTTTTCCTTTTGTAAAATGGGGATAATAATAGTATCTTCCCCAAAAGTATTATTGTAAGGATTAAAGGAGATGGTTTTTGGAACGTGCTTAGAAAATGCAGGGTATATAGTAAGCATTAGTAAATAGTGTTTATTATTATTGAGAGGCAAGGAACCCTGAATTCTAGTTCTGTTTCCCACTGAATAGTTTAGTGATCTTGAGCAAGACTTATGACTCCGAATTAAAAGGCAAGGAAAGAGATAGAAAAGGAGTTACTATATTTAGGCTGATTGGTCCTGATTATCAAAGGGGAAATTGGGTTACACTACACGCTGGGGGGCAAAAAGTCTGTCTGGTATACAGAGATTTCCCTAGGACATCCCAGTACTTCCACGTCTTTTGGTTAAAGTCAATGGAGGCTGGGCGTGGTGGCTCATGCCTGTAATCCCAGCACTTTAGGAGGCCGAGGTGGGTGGATCACTTCAGGTCAGGAGTTCAAGACCAGCCTGGCCAATGTGGCGAAATTCCATCTCTACTAAAAATACAAAAATTAGCCAGGTGTGGTGGTACACACCTGTAATCCCAGCTGCTCAGGAGGCTGAGACAGGAGAATCGCTTGAACCCGGGAAGCAGAGGTTGCAGTGAGCTGAGATTGCAGTGAGCTGAGATCATGCCACTGCACTCCAGCCTGGGTGACAGAGTGAGACTTCCTTTCAAAAAATAAAACAAACAAACAAATAAATAAAGTCAGTGGATCACCCCAACAACCCAGTTCAGGCAGGACAGCTCTGAACCTTGGTATTCTCAGTTTAGAAAATAAAAGGGTAGGGTGGAAGGGGTTAACTACTTAAACTCCCTTTCAGGAGTACAATTCTCAAGTTCACAATCCCCATTCTACTTCTGACTTGCTGTGCTTTGTACACCAAGGTATCTGGGAAAATAGCCAGTTTTATTTTCAGATTACCATGGTAGATGTGAGTAGCTCAGTACTAAGACTGTGCAGCTGAAATTCAAATACAAAACACACCTACTTCATTTAAAAAATGTCAAATGACAGAGTGAAACAAGATGTTTTTCCTACAATGTCATTCTGAATGAAGAATTACAGAGCTGGATTTCAATGACTGGACTCTTTTGCTGGCTATAAATGTTAGGTTATACTATAAAAATGGCTTGTTTAAGCTTCTGCTTACACCTAAGCAGAAGAGGTGGTCATTCCTTCCTGTTATAATAGTGCTTAGTCCTGGTATCAATAGTTTTCCTTGTGTGTGGGCCTGTTAAACTGAAGAATGTGAGCTGTAGATTTTCATGCTGGTAACTGCCTGGCCAAGTGCTGTGTTGGGAGGTTGATGTCGGAATCCAACTGCATGAAAATCTGCTTCACAAAACCTACAGTACCAGACAGGGCTTTCCAAACTTTTTCCCCACAAAATTATTACTTAATATGTTCTTGTCAATTGCCACCAGTATTAAACTGATAGACGACAAGTTAAACAGCACACGTGTGTTTTCAGAGTCGTGCCAACTTTTAGATTTTTTTCAGGGGACAAAATATAAAATGTATTTTTTTTCTGTTTCAGAGAGGGGAATTGTTATTAAAACTGATTTCTTAAGTGATTGTCTTCTAAATATCAGAAAAGATATTTCTTTGAATCAGAAGAGCTAATCGATTTCAGAAATATAATGCTACCTGTTTTCCTTAAAGATTTTGTTACTATAAAAATAATAATTGACTATCATTATAGAGAAAATTTATTAAGTGGGAGAAAGATCCATAACATCACTTTAACACACTTACTATTATAATAGTTTTAAAATATTTTTATATAAGAGATGCGGCAGTCACAATGTGATTTTTTGTTCAGTTTCTGTTTCTCTGGCAAATTTATTTTCACCCTCGAACACTCATTAGTTTGCATTATTCAAGAAAGAGATGTTGATTAATCCATGTTCTAATTAAATGCCACAGTTTTTCTTTTAAAATTACTAATTCTGATACCTGGATTAAAAAATAACCCAATAGATTCAAGTGACATAATACAGTTTATCTGTCACTCTCTCTTCCTTTCCCTCTTTTTTATCTTTCACTTTCTCCTGAATTTGGGAAGTTATACTGCAGTTGTCTTCAGTAAGTGGGAACCCAGTCTCACACAATGTGTAGTTAGCAACTAAATAAAACCAAACACTCTCTGTCCACTGGGCTTTCGCAGGTGAGGAGGACTGGCTAGGCTTTGCCACCTCTCTAGCCTGGTTGTCTTTACCAAATGTTTTTGGAAGGACACAGCATTGCTGAATAAAGATAATCCCGTAGCTCTTTTATTTTTGGTAAATTTTGTCTTATCAATAACTTTATAAGAAATGAGTGACTTCAAGAATAATCCCAATCAAATTCCCTTTTGAATCAGACCTTACATTAGCTATCGGGTTGGAGAGAAACAGCACAGGAGGTCTATTGCTCAAGTAATTCTATCATTTTAAATTTAAGTTTCTGAAAACCTACCTTCAACAGAAAGAAAAATTTCTTTTCTTAAGTTTAGAATTCTGTCAGCAGAGTGGTAAGTGTGTTAGCTGTAAATCTCCTTGATACCATAATAAACTGAACTTAAAAGATAGGGGGAGGAAAGAAAGAAAGAAAAGCCAGAGACCTAGAGAATAATATTCAAAGCATATACGATTAGAACAAAAGATTAGTATAAATAATATGTATTTTAAAATTCCTACAGATGTATAAGAAAAAAGGCAAACAATATGGCAGAAAATGGGCAATGGTTAGGAGCAAGCAACTCACAGAAAAGGAAGTCCATATGGTCAGAAAACACGTGAAAAGTCCTCATGAGTCATCAGAGAGATACAAATTAAACCCATTTGAAGCTACTTCAGACTTATTATTTAAGTAGCAATTTTAAAGTCTGATAACACCTAGGCACTAGCACGGATGCACAGAAAAAATAAGCATTGCCTCTCTATAGATCCCCTCATAATCCGTACATAATGGACCAAGGTTTTGGTTCATGGAAAACAACAGTGAACAAAATGTGACCCGGCATTTGCAACTCTTCTCAATAACAGAAGAAAATCCTGAGCATAGTTGGACAGTGTTTTTCATTTCTAATGAAAAATTATCTCCAATTAATCTTTGACGTGTTTTAATTTAGCCTATGAATTGCATTGCTTCGGTCACATATATAACCACTTTAACCACGTGTCTTATAGTAACCACTTTAACCACTTTACCATGTACACATGGTTACCCACTTTAACCACGAGTACTTATAGTAAGTAATAACCACTTTAACCATGTGTACTTATGGTAACACATAGCAGAAAAGACACCCCCTTCCCCACATTAGTGCCCTTTCCAGGGTCTTGTAACTCCTTCTTCCCCTCACCCTGATTGGGAGCAACCTGCCTCCACTTCTTCCTTCTGACTCTTTCCTCTCCTCATTCTCTGGTTCTAAACTGGTATGACTACTACTTCTGATAATGCATTTTGTGGCCTGAAGTCCCTTCACAGTCTAGGCCCCACCCAGAATTGTCAGCTCCCTGAGGACATGGCTCATGTTTCAGTCTTCTTCAGGATTAATACAGAGCCTAGCAAGCTTCTTGCAGCAAATATTTTTTAAGTGATCCACAGACTCCTCAGTCTGGGCAATTGCTGTGTGTGCATCTTCGTACAAAATATATGTGCAGTTTTCCACTTAAACTGCTTTGGTTGGTGGTGCCTTAAGCCTTAGGTCCTACTGGGGTGTCATGAAGAGAGTACTGGATTAGAAGCCACAAGTCCAGGGTTTAGACTAATCTGTTGTGGACAAATTGTGTGTCTTTAGACATATCATTCTACGTTTGGGAACCTCAGTTTCTTTGTCTACAAAATGAGGCTAGAATATCTGCTCTGCTTACCCCACAGGGTTATGACAAGGATTAAATGAAAAATGCTACATGGAAAAGTGGTAAAAACTTTAAAAGGCTATCCATGGGCTATTGTTGATTATGTGTTGTTTGTAGATCAGGACATGGCCGCCGAGTAAACAGACAACACACAGAGTGGGAGAAAATCTTCACAATCTATACACCTGGCAAAGGACTAATATCCAGAATCTACAACAAACTCAAACAAATTAGCAAGAAAAAAAACAAACTATCCCTTCAAAAAGTGGACTAAGGGCATGAGTAGAAAATTCTCAAGAAAAGATATACAAGTGGCCAACAAACGTATGAAAAAATGCTCAATATCACTAATGATCAGGGAAATGCAAATAAAACCACAATGTGATACCATCTCACTCCTGCAAGAATGGCCATAATCAAAAAATAAAAATATAATAGATGTTGGCATGGATGCGGTGAAAAGGAAACACTTTTACACTGCTGGTGGGAATGTAAGCTACTACAGCCACCATGGAAAACAGTGTGGAGATTCCTTAAAGAACTAAAAGTAGATCTACCATTTGATCCAGCAATCCACTACTGGGTATCTACCCAGAGGAATAAAAGTCATTACAGGAAACAGATACTTGCACACACATATCTAGAGCAGCACAGTTCGCCAATTGCAAAAATTTGGAACCAGCCCAAATACCCATCAATCAACAAGTGGATAAAGAAACTGTGGTATCTACACACAATGGAATACTACTCAGCCATAAAGAAGAATGAATTCATGGCATTTGCAGCAACCTGGATGGGATTGGAGACTATTATTCTAAGTGAAGTAACTCTGGAATGGAAAATGAAACTTGTATGTTCTCACTCATAAGTGAGACCTAAGCTTTGGGGATGCAAAGGCATAAAAATGATTTCATGGACTTTGGGGACTCAGTGGGGAGGGTGGGAAGGGGGTGAGGGATAAAAGACTACAAATTGGGTTCAGTGTATACTGCTCAGGTGATGGGTGCACGAAAATCTCACAAATCACCACTAAAGAACTTACTTGTGTACTCATACCACCTGTTCCCCAAAAACCTATGGAAATTAAAAATTAAAAAAATATAAATCAGGATATGGTAAACCACAGAGGCAGCAATGAGATTTCCCAATGCTCTGTCATTGTTTAGCTGCAGCCTTGCTACAAGAAATATTATTATTATTATTCCATTTCTTTTTTTTGAGACAGAGCCTTGCTCTGTCACCCAGGCTGGAGTACAGTGGCACGATCTCAACTCACTGTGACCTCTAGAGGCCTCCTGGGTTTAAGCGAGTCTCATGACTCAGCCTCCTGAGTAGCTGGGATTACAGGTGCACACTACCACTCCTGTCTAATTTTTGTATTTTTTAGTAGAGATGGGGTTTTGCCATGTTGGCCAGGCTGGTCTCAAACTTCTGGCCTCAAGTCAACTGACCACCTGGGCTTCCCAAAGTGCTGGGATTACAGGTGTGCACTACTGTTCCTGGCCAAGAAATATTATTTTCACCTGTAAAACTCCCTTTAATGGTTAATGTGCTGACCAAAGGAACCCTACTGATATTCTAGATGGTTTAGGTGAAGCTTCTTTTTGGTCATTTAACTTGAAGAATTGCATCTCAACCTCTCTTCTATCAACACCCTTCCATTTTAAAAAAAGTCAATACAATATTTGCCACCATGATGCCTTTCTATGCACACATCTGCTGTCTCATATCTCACCTTCACCTCCCTCCCTCTCTCTTACTGGTGTGTACCCCGCCCATTTGCAAAGATTTATATTGCTGGGCCTCCTGCTGCAAAAAAGGTGCACTCACATCAGTTCAACAAACACTGTTTGTTTGTTTGTTTTTTTTTTTTTTTTTTGAGATGGAGTCTTACTCTGTCGCCCAGGCTGGAGTGCAATGGTGCGATCTCGGCTCACTGCAACCTCTGCCTCCTGGGTTCAAGCAATTCTCCAGCCGCAGCCTCCTGAGTAGCTGGGATTACAGGCACCCACCATCATGCCCAGCTAATTTTTGTATTTTTTTTAGTAGAGACAGGGTTTCACCATGTTGGTCAGGCTAGTCTCGAACTCCTGACCTCAGGTGATCCACCCACCTCAGCCTCCCAAACTGCTGGGATTACAGGCGTAAGCCACCGCGCCCGGCCCAACAAACACTGGTCTTAAAGATTGTATATAAAGCAAATTTTTGCAAACAGAGTATCCCATTTTCACATTAAATAATACATGCACCCTCTTTGGTTTTCATCTGCATTTGGTTAGCTTTGATTCATAGTACATTAGATTTAGATTTATCTCTTCATCACATTCAGTCTTTGATGAACTGTGAACACACTACTGATAGGAATCCTGGTGATTTCTTTTATTAAATAACGAATCCTTATCAGTAAATAATTCCAGCCTTACTATTATGTTCTAGTGATGGATTTTCATATAAGAGCTATGTGTGGGTGTGTAACATTTATCTTTTCTCCCCATTTCACTTTTGAGTCACTACCCCTTTAAACCCATGTGTGACAAGTATGGAGCACAGATCCTCTCTCCAGTGTCGTCAGAGAGTGTCATGGAGTGGCGGGGTAATAAACAGCAGTGAATGCTACCTAAGCCAGCCCTGACCAGTGGGGAATTGCAGTCATAGAAATTATAGGTCCTCACTGGAGAACAGAAACTGATTCTGAATCATTTCCAGAGCCTCCGAAAAGGCACTTCCTGTTGTTAGAGATCTGTTGTGCTGAGGTTAGATTGTAGCTGCTGGTCCCTTGCTCGCTGAGGAGGCATGCAGGACTAGAAAGCACACTCTCCAGTGCTGGAGCTGGAAGAAACAATTGGATCTGACACTGTCATTTCATAGACAAAGAAACTGAAACCCAAAAGATGTGCCCAGGGTCATGCTGCTAGTTAGAGGCAATAGTCCCAGGACACAGGGGTCTCCCTCCAGTTTACTGATTTTGGTTTTATTTCATGAAGTTTATGTTTTAGCAGTTTATCCTTTTGCAGAGGCAAGGTAGCTTTCTACAAAGCCTCTAGTCTCTGAAGCCAGACAAGTCTGTGTTACAGTCCTTGCCCTACCTGTTACAAGTGTATATTCTTTCTAAGCACTGGTTTCTTCATCTAAAAAATGAGGATAATGTCCACCTTATAGGACTGTTGCCCTAATTTGTGTTAATGTATATGAAATGCCTGGTGCATACATATTAAAACGCAGTGTTGTCAGTACTCTAGGTGATGGGGGTGGACCAACTGCTACCTCTAATTTTAATGTAACTTGCACTTTCTATAGCACTTGTTTGGCAACTAAGTCTTTCCTGTCTTTCCTGCTTTGGGCTTTATGTAGATTCAGGCCCTGTAGGCCTATTTTGAGAAGTGAGTGGGTTTTTGTTTTGTTTTGTTTTGTTTTAGGACTTCTAGAAATTCAATAATCTGGTTCTTGCTACAGAAGCCTCGATTGTTAGAAGGAAATCTCTAGTCTCTTTAGGCTCTGAAGACCAGGATAGATTCTGTGTTCTGCCCTTACTATTTCAAGGCAACTTCAGTTGTTTCACAAGAAAGAGAACCAAGTTGGCATAGGAGGTGAGACATACAAGCAGGAAGTAGGAATCCCTGGCCTGGCAGGGGTGGGGTAGAGTAGGGTAGCATGGTAGAGGAGACCCTGCCTGGGCTCTTCGCTAGCTGAGATGAGCAATGCAAGGAGGTGATGGCTCTCAACTGCAGTAGTAGCTAAGAGGACTAGAAAATAAGTGACTAGTCAGGGTCTAGTCCTTTCCTTGGGAGTGGGGCTGCCATGGTTCTGCTGATCTGCTGGATTTGAGCAGGCTAAAGTTAAATAGAGGCAGTTGCAGATAAAAGACTGGGGGCTGCATGTGTTCATGTGCATGTGTCCATGGTGGTTATTTTCAAGCTAAGCTAGAACAAGATTTGTGCAAATTGTCTCCCTCTTTGATACTTTTCCTAGGAAAAAGGGGTGACAACAGCCTCCTTGATGGGTCTGTAGACAGCGAGGAGGAGAGTTGTCTACAACATCCGGAACCCTGCAGCTTGGTGAAGAAAGGAGTGCAAAAAAAGTCAGAGGG
This sequence comes from Homo sapiens, assembly GCF_000001405.40. Classification (NCBI taxonomy): domain Eukaryota; kingdom Metazoa; phylum Chordata; class Mammalia; order Primates; family Hominidae; genus Homo; species Homo sapiens. The sequence continues at coordinate 170,565,644 of NC_000003.12, forward strand.
AGGCTGAGCTTGACTTCCTCTTCTTGCTGGTGTAGGGTTGAGGGTCACCAGCAGAAGAGTGTGGGAAAGAGCTGGCTGGCTGGGCCTTGGTTCCTCCTTGTCCTGTGGATAAACAGATGATCTCAGCTTCTGGTCCTATTGAATGACCCCTTCCCTGCTATTACTAGAAAATGAAGAAACAAGTGGAAGAGGGGGAAAATACTGCATCAGAAGAGTAATGGAAAAAAACAAGAAATGGGAGGTAGAAAAATAAAGTGGGGAAAGCATGCCCTTAGGAGCTTTGGCATTTTGTGGAGTGGTTCATACTGGAATTGGATTGAATTGAATATGATTCATGCAATGCATCCTTAAATTAATAATATGCTGCTGATATAAATTTTCCAGCCTGAAGGAACCATGGCAATCATCTGTGGTTGCCCTTCTGTCTTATAGAAGAGGAATTTAAGGCCCAGAGAAGCAAAGGGACCTGTGTGAGGTGAGGCTAACACAGTGAGGGAGGGATGTGCTGAAACCACTGCCCAGCTCCACCCCTCTGGGTGCTTGCTTCCTCGGCATTGTTTTGGTTCCAAGCATGCAAAGCTCATCTGGTTTTTCTCCCTCTCTGTACCTCTGCTCATTTCTGCTAACCCTTTTACCGTAAGTGGAGGAGTCCTTTCAGCTGAGAGTAAAAGTTGGGAGACTGGAGTCAGGTGTAGAGCCAAGGAGAGGAGAGGTCATCTTTCTCCTTAGTGTTCGAAGTTGGAGCTAAGTTCTTCTCAAACAAGATTTCAGTGATATGGATGGTTAAACATTGCCAACAAATAGCAAAAATGGGCCCTGATTCTATAGCAATGAAATGCTCTTTTTCTTGCACAATTTTCAGTTTAATCTCCTGACTTGACTTTCTATTTCCAGCTTCTCTCCTCTGTCTCTTGTTTCTCTCCTGCCACATCCATCCCACTCACTGTTGTCAGAACCTTCCATCACTGTCCCTGTCACAACCACTTTTGGTGGCTCCCACTGCCTGTGGCTTAAGGTCTAATCTCCTTAGTTCAGCCGTCAAGGCCCGGAAGAGATGAGTTTCACTCATCCTACAGCCATTGAGCTTGTAATAAAATACTTCTTTAAGAAAACTGCAAGCAGCTGAGCACCCAAAAAATTCTGGTGAGGATCACCTTATAGTTCAGTTAAAAAAAAAAAAGAGAAAAAGAAAAGAAAAACAAAACAAAACGAAACAAACCCCAAAGCAAGACTTTTGCTTTAACATTTAAAGCGAAGTTGAAATAGACCACCCTGAGAGATATGATGCAGTCATTCTACAAGTTACACCTTAAACATTCATTTACAACTGATATTGTCCTACTTTTATTTTTTATTTTTTTATTTTATTTTATTATTATTATACTTTAAGTTTTAGGGTACATGTGCACAATGTGCAGGTTAGTTACATATGTATACATGTGCCATGCTGGTGTGCTGCACCCATTAACTCATCATTTAGCATTAGGTATATCTCCTAAAGCTATCCCTCCCCCCTCCCCCCACCCCACAACAGTCCCCAGAATGTGATGTTCCCCTTCCTGTGTCCATGTGTTCTCACTGTTCAATTCCCACCTATGAGTGAGAATATGCGGTGTTTTGTTTTTTGTCCTTGCGATAGTTTACTGAGAATGATGATTTCCAATTTTATCCATGTCCCTACAAAGGACATGAACTCATCATTTTTTATGGCTGCATAGTATTCCATGGTGTATATGTGCCACATTTTCTTAATCCAGTCTATCATTGTTGGACATTTGGGTTGGTTCCAAGTCTTTGCTATTGTGAATAGTGCCGCAGTAAACATACGTGTGCATGTGTCTTTGTAGCAGCATGATTTATAGGCCTTTGGGTATATACCCAGTAATGGGATGGCTGGGTCAAATGGTATTTCTAGTTCTAGATCCCTGAGGAATCGCCACACTGACTTCCACAATGGTTGAACTAGTTTACAGTCCCACCAACAGTGTAAAAGTGTTCCTATTTCTCCACATCCTCTCCAGCACCTGTTGTTTCCTGACTTTTTAATGATTGCCATTCTAAGTGGTGTGAGATGGTATCTCATTGTGGTTTTGATTTGCATTTCTCTGATAGCCAGTGATGGTGAGCGTTTTTTCATGTGTTTTTTGGCTGCATAAATGTCTTCTTTTGAGAAGTGTCTGTTCATGTCCTTTGCCCACTTTTTGATGGGGTTGTTTTTTTTTTCTTGTAAATTTGTTTGAGTTCATTGTAGATTCTGGATATTAGCCCTTTGTCAGATGAGTAGGTTGTGAAAATTTTCTCCCATTTTGTAGGTTGCCTGTTCATTCTGATGGTAGTTTCTTTTGCTGTGCAGAAGCTCTTTAGTTTAATTAGATCCCACTTGTCAATTTTGGCTTTTGTTGCCATTGCTTTTGGTGTTTTAGACATGAAGTCCTTGCCCATGCCTATGTCCTGAATGGTAATGCCTAGGTTTTCTTTTAGGGTTTTTATGGTTTTAGGTCTAACATTTAAGTCTTTAATCCATCTTGAATTAATTTTTGTATAAGGTGTAAGGAAGGGATCCAGTTTCAGCTTTCTACATATGGCTAGCCAGTTTTCCCAGTACCATTTATTAAATAGGGAATCCTTTCCCCATTGCTTGTTTTTCTCAGGTTTGTCAAAGATCAGATAGTTGTAGATATGCGGTGTTATTTCTGAGGGCTCTGTTGTGTTCCATTGATCTATATCTCTGTTTTGGTAAAAAGTACCATGCTGTTTTGGTTACTGTAGCCTTGTAGTATAGTTTGAAGTCAGGTAGCATGATGCCTCCAGCTTTGTTCTTTTGGCTTAGGATTGACTTGGCGATGTGGGCTCTTTTTTGGTTCCATATGAACTTTAAAGTAGTTTTTTCCAGTTCTGTGAAGAAAGTCATTGGTAGCTTGATGGGGATGGCATTGAATCTATAAATTACCTTGGGCAGTATGGCCATTTTCACGATATTAATTCTTTCTACCCATGAGCATGGAATGTTCTTCCATTTGTTTGTATCCTCTTTTATTTCATTGAGCAGTGGTTTGTAGTTCTCCTTGAAGAGTTCCTTCACGTCCCTTGTAAGTTGGATTCCTAGGTATTTTGTTCTCTTTGAAACAATTGTGAATGGGAGTTCACTCATGATTTGGCTCTCTGTTTGTCTGTTATTGGTGTATAAGAATGCTTGTGATTTTTGTACATTGATTTTGTATCCTGAGACTCTGCTGAAGTTGCTTATCAGCTTAAGGAGATTTTGGGCTGAGACAGTGGGATTTTCTAGATATACAATCATGTCATCTGCAAACAGGGACAATTTGACTTCCTCGTTTCCTAATTGAATACCCTTTATTTCCTTCCCCTGCCTAATTGCCCTGGCCAGAACTTCCAACACTATGTTGAATAGGAGTGGTGAGAGAGGGCATCCCTGTCTTGTGCCAGTTTTCAAAGGGAATGCTTCCAGTTTTTGCCCATTCAGTATGATATTGGCTGTAGGTTTGTCATAGATAGCTCTTATTATTTTGAGATACATCCCATCAATACCTAATTTATTGAGAGTTTTTAGCATGAAGGGTTGTTGAATTTTGTCAAAGGCCTTTTCTGCATCTATTGAGATAATCATGTGGTTTTTGTCTTTGGTTCTGTTTATATGCTGGATTACATTTATTGATTTGCGTATGTTGAACCAGCCTTGCATCCCAGGGATGAAGCCCACATGATCATGGTGGATAAGCTTTTTGATGTGCTGCTGGATTCGGTTTGCCAGTATTTTATTGAGGATTTTGGCATCAGCGTTCATCAAGGATATTGGTCTAAAATTCTCTTTTTTGGTTGTGTCTCTGCCAGGCTTTGGTATCAGGATGATGCTGGCCTCATAAAATGAGTTAGGGAGGATTCCCTCTTTTTCTATTGATTGGAATGGTTTCAGAAGGAATGGTACCAGTTCCTCCTTGTACCTCTGTAGAATTCGGCTGTGAATCCATCTGGTCCTGGTCTCTTTTTGGTTGGTAAGCTATTGATTATTGCCACAATTTCAGCTCCTGTTATTGGTCTATTCAGAGATTCAACTTCTTCCTGGTTTAGTCTTGGGAGGGTGTATGTGTCCAGGAATTTATCCATTTTTTCTAGATTTTCTAGTTTATTTGTGTAGAGGTGTTTGTAGTATTCTCTGATGGTAGTTTGTATTTCTGTGGGGTCGGTGGTGATATCCCCTTTATCACTTTTTATTGCATCTATTTGATTCTTCTCTCCTTTCTTCTTTATTAGTCTTGCTAGCGGTCTATCAATTTTGTTGATCCTTTCAAAATACCAGCTCCTGGATTCATTAATTTTTTGAAGGGTTTTTTAGTTTTAAACTTAGAAGTTGGCCCCTGCATACAAGCTGAGATTAAGCTGGTAAATTTATTCTATTTTCTAATGACTGATCTCCTCTTGATTTTTTGGTTTGTTTTTGGTCTTATGCTAGGAAAGGCTTGATGTTCCTTGCCTAAAGAGGAGAAAATCACCTTAAAAGTCCAAATAGTAGGCCAGACACAGTGGTTCATGCCAGCACTTTGGGAGGCCAAGGCAGATGACTGCTTGAGCCTAGGAGTTTGAGATCAGCCTGGGCAACATGGCAAAACCCTGTCTCTACAAAAAAAATACAAAAATTAGCCAGGTGTGGTGGCGCATGCCTGTAGTTCCAGCTAGTCCGGAGGCTGAGGTGGGAGGATCAGTTGAGCCCTGCTAGGTCAAGGTTGCAGTAAGCCATAATTGCACCGCCGTACTCTAGCCTCGGCAACAGAGTGAGACCCTGTCTCAAAAAATAAAATAAAATAAAATAAAATAAAATAAAATAAAAAGAGGGTCCAAATAGTTTTCTGTATATAAACTAGGCTTCTAGGCTTGGTGCGGTTGGGATCCATTAGTTAATGGCTTAATGATGATATCTCTTGTAAGTGATTTCTGAAAATTGGAAACAAATGGAATGATTCAAAACTGAGAAAGAGACAACTATTTATTTACATGTACTTCTCACTCCGAAGCCCGGACACTGGTAAAGTATTTCATTGTGGGGAATGAGATGCATTTTCACTTTGTACTGCTCAGCAGATGCCCCTATGCCTTCTATCCTAACTTTCCCAAGGATAAAAAGTATCTAAAAATTAATGTCATTTCTTTTCTCTTTTTCCCATACTTTTTTTCCAAACCACCCCCCACCCACCCCAATAGCTTTAGGAGTACAAGTGGTTTTGGTTACATGGATAAATTGTGTAGTGGTGAGGTCTGGGCTTTTAGTGCACCCATCACCCAAATAGTGTGCATTGTACCCAACAGGTGATTTTTTTGTTCCTCACCCCTTCTTTTATTGTTGACTTAATTTTCTTTTTCATTCTCTCACTCAACATTTCCTTAATATACTCCAGTCCATCATCCAGATTAAACTTTAGAACTCTCTTAAACTAAACAAAATGGCCTTTCAAATTACTTGCCTTCCTTTCAAAACCCCCATTCTGCTTTACTTAATAAATATCCCTTCTGCCATCAGTTCTCCCATTACAGCTTATTAGTCTTCCTGTACTATGCTCTTGCTTTGGGGTAATCAAACAATCTGAGCCTTCACTGAAAGAAATGAGTTCCTGGCACATGTAGATACATCTTGAACTTCTAGAATATTAATTTAAGTCTAGAGATGTAGTGTGTATTGCTGACAGTTTAGGGCAAATCTGTCTTTCACAAACCACTCACAGGAGCCTTGAGGATCTAGGCCTTTGTTTTTGTAAGCAGTAAGTTATATTATGTTGGTCATTAGGGCCTGTAATTTTGTTTCCTTGACAGTTACGTGAGACTAATTCAAGTCACTTCACTGATGAAGAAAACTAAAACCAAAACAATAAATCTTGAACATAATCTTCCACATACCTGAGGCAATTGGGACTTCATATTGTTTTTATTTTAGCAACAATATTGTTTAGCAACATTACTCAAGAAAATGGTTCCTATCTTTATTAATGCTTCCTAGTCTGTTTTTCTCCCATTATAGCTTCAGTTTTTAGTATGTTTGTTGAATGAATTAATGAATAACTAAATGAATAAAAAGCTATTATTTCTTTCTTAGATGTAGTGACAGTCCTAGAAAAAGTAAGACTTGGCCAGGCACGTTGGCTCATGCCTGTAATCCCAGCACTTTGGGAGGCCAAGGCAGGCAGATCACAAGGTCATGGGCTTGAGACCAGCCTGGCCAATATGGTGAAACCCCATCTCTACTAAAAATACAAAAAAACTAGCTGGGCATGGTGGTGCACGCCTGTAGTCCCAACTACTCAGGAGGCTGAGGCAGGAGAATCACTTGAGCCCAGGAAATGGAGGTTGCAGAGAGCCAAGACTGTGCCACTGCACTTCAGCCTGGGCAATAGAGGGAGACTCTGTCTCAAAAAAAAAAAAAAAAAAAAAGAAAGAAAGAAAGAAAAAGTAAGACTTGTCCAAAGTCCCATACCAAATCTGTGAACTCCTGGGCCTAATTCTCTGCTAAGGCAATGAAGATAGACCTGCAAAGTCATTCTTATTATCCATGCACTTGTATAAGATCCATTAGGATTGATCAGCTTCTGAGAGAATTTTTAAATTGCAGATGGACTGTATAGATGGTGAGGATCATGGTGTCAGATGGCATGGTCTTTGAATCTTGACTCTAACCTTCACTGGCTGTGAGAACTTGGGCCAGTCATTCAAATTTTATAATCCTCATCTGTAAAATGAGGATATTAATATCTACTTTATATGATTAAATGAGTAAATGTGATTGCTACTATTATTATAAGTATTATGATATAGCTGTCAAATTATTCTTGACTTTAAGAAGAGCACTCAATAAGTTGCTATATTGGAATCATATGTGTAAAGAGATGATAGTACTCAAATGACAAGTTTTCTCTAGATTCTTAATGTGCTGTAATGGGATCAGAGTGTTTATTTATAACTGTAGGTTGAAATAGACTTGGGGGCAGAAAGGAAGAACAGAGGCTATTCACTAAGAGTATTGAAACAGGGAATTCTTGTTTTTGTTTTGATAGTTAAATTCTCTACTGGCATATTTCTGTTGTCTATATTAGGAATTTATTTCTGGCACGACAGTCTCTACTCATTCAGATATTTTCTTCCTCTGCATTGTGATGCTGGAATAGAAAGTGTGTCAAAAGTCTTTGTGACTAGGACAGACTCTAAAATGAATCCCAAACTGTCTGTGTAGTTTGTTCCTACTCAGAATCAGGATAACCAGTCAGCTCAAGGGGAAAATAAAAATATTCAAAATGGTTGTTTGGCCTCTTTTAGAGGTAGCAATGTTGCGTGATTTTTAAAAAAAACCTCTTGGGAGTCTATTCCTTCAGCATTTTGTAGATGAGTCATAGTCGCCACATGACTGTTTTCTGTAGTGAGAGTGACTAACAGATTCAGTTTCAAATGTCAGGGTCCACACATGGAGATTACTGACAAGGATAAACCAGACTCAGGTGCACTCAGAGCAAGGCCAGATCATAGTGCCCTCTGAAATGACACAAACAGAATTAGCACAAAATACAAGAGATGTGTCCCTTACAGAAATAACCCAACCACTTGGATGGTTTATTTATTATTGATGGTTAATCAGTGGCATCTACCAGAACTCTCCAAAGGAGACCAACAAAAGATTGTCACTAATATGAGATTCAAGTGCCATGCCACCTGAGACCATGATTCTCACCATCTGTACAGTTCATCCACAATTAAACAACTTTCTCAGAAGCAGACTAATCGTAATGGATCTTATACAAGTACGTGAATAATGATAATGATTTTGCTGATCTATCTTCATTGCCTTAGCAGAGAATTAGGCCCAGGAGTTCAAAGATTTGGTAAGGGGCTTTGGACAAGATGTCACTGACACAAGTAAGATAGGCTATGAGTTGAGTATTATAACATGCCTAGAATAATACCCTAAGGAAGATGGGGGCTGCATAAAGACTAGATAAAGTCTCCATCTTTTCCCAAAATAATTTGCCAGTTTCTTCACCACTAGCGAAACAGAGAGAACAAGACCCTGTTTTTGAAGGACACAACTATTCTGGTAACCTGAAAAGTGTTCTTGGGTGGAGTTTGGAAGAGTTCTCTTGTCTCTGTTGCAGCCTGAATGGCACATTTCACAAGACTGTCTGTCCCACTCCATTAATCCTGACACTGTGCCCACAGGTTATCTTTGACCACTCATTTGGTTTTCTCATGGTCCTGCTATTAGGAAGGAAATAGCCTGGGCCACACTTAGAAGCATCTTCTATTGTATGTGGCTATATTGGCATCTAGCTAACAAATCAGTCTCTTGGGACCTGGGGAGCATGGCTAGATTCTTCAGAGCTGGATCACTCTTGATAAAACTGATAAAATTAAGCTTCTGTACCTAATTAGCCTGATCAGCCTGTGAGACAATTGTGACCCTACAAAGCCCTACCTGAGAAGCTAGTTCTGGGGTTTCTTTCCTCTCTTACTTGCTTCTCTTTTCAATATAATCTTTACTGAAATACCATCTGGTTTTGTCTTAAAACGATTCCTGAGAAGTTATGTATAAATGGAAAATTTTAGTTCAATTGATTTAAAAAAGTCTTTTATCAATGTGATCTTTGTCTACAGTAATGAAATGCATCATGGTGATCAATCCAGGCAAAATACCCTGCCCCTGAAGCAGAAGTGGTTTGGCAGTTGTCTTTTTTCACTTTCTTGGCCACTCCCAATCTTGCTTAAATCCATCTAATTGCCCAATTGCCTGGTCTCTGGGATTATGAATCTAATATCCTGCCACTTACAGTAAACTCTGGGTGAGCTTTGCCTTATTCTCAAATGATGGGAGCCATGGACTCTGCCCTTTTTCTTCCTGAGCACACTGTTTCCTATGGTGATCACTACCTGAGTGGTGGCATTGATCATAAATATCCTAGACCAGAAAGTATGTCAAACTCTTCCCTAACCAGCTTCTTAATGTGATAGATGGGCCAATACAGCATGAAGGATAACAAGTTGTGGGAATTCTAGAAAAGGTCCTGGAATGAACCTCAGAGCACATGCAATCAGTCATTTCTATCCATCCTGTGGGGTTGTGCAAGGAGTGAGGGAGCCTGAGAGTGGGAAATGCCATGTTATTTATCCTTGGGAAATAGCAGTATAGTGTGAAGGGCAAAGCCCTGGACTGGGAGTCAGGGAATCTAGTCACCGTACTGCTTTTAACTGAGCAAACCTGGGCAAGTGGCTTCACCTCTCTGGGTCTCAGTTTCTATTCTCATCAACTGAATGGATTAGCTTAGGTGATTTCTATTAAATGCTTATTGAATGAAGGGTGGAGGAAAAGTGGTTAGAGAGAAAGGGAAGTAAGAAGTAACTGATTTTAGAAACCTAAATATACAGAGACTAGATTAATTTGGCTATAAGGTGAAATTTAAGACCATAAGCCTGGATAAATTATTAGGAGCATGTAGATGAGGGAAAAATTCAACCCTGTTACAAAGAGGGCTGAAACTCTGGAGTCTGAAATCCTATCTCTTATGTGCTCTGTGTGCAGGCAGCTTCATCTTTCTGAAGCCTCCCTCATCTAGAAAATAGAGAGACTGTGATAATTTATATGCAAGCATGAACAGCATATTATTTACAGAACCACCAGAGATTAAGATGCCTTCTGTTCAGGCTGTGACTCCATAATCTCTGGCAGTTTGAAATGAGGAGGCAGGGGAGGATGTGTGTGGCAGGCAAAGGATGTCATGCTCATGTGTTAGTGTACTGTCTGTCTGTGTTTCTGAAGAGAATGCTGTATGTAGAAGGAGCTCAGAATGTAGAAGCAGGGTCTTATCTATCACCTGCTTGTAATTAAGGAACAATGGTATAGCTTCATAGTGAACAATGGAAAACTTGAGCTTCATGAATATTTAGTAGTCACTTTGTGTGTTACATTGGGTTATGCTCAATTGATGGCTAAAATTCCCAAAGGCAGCACAGAGCAGGACAAAATGCTATGAACTGAGAGGAGGGACTAGGTTCTAGCTCTTATACTGCCACAAATTTACTAGCTGACTTTGGGCAAGTCACTCAATATCTCTGGGTTTTAACTACTTCAACTGTAATACATAGGGAAAAGAGCATGGTAGGGTGATTTCTGAGATTTCTTCTAGTTACAAGATTGGACTCCATGAGCCCTGAATTCAAATGATATTCCTAAGATACTCATAAAATCCCTGTTCAAAGGATAAGCCCCTGGCTGAATAAATACATCCACCTATCTGTATTCAAGTTTCTTCAGTCCTTCCAGTATGACCTCCCACCAGCCAGATAAGGTCAGCCTGCACTTGTATCATTTCTGTTCACACCTTCAGCATTTGCTTATGCTGGTCCCATTTCTACAATAGCTTTCTCTCTCATTTATCCACCTGAAAAAATATTATATACCATTCAAGATACTGTTCAATTATAATTTCCTCTGTGGAAGTGAATTGTTTCCTGGTCTCTCCTTGGAGGCTCCCTCATAATATGTTATAGCATGTGTCATGTTGCATACATAATTAGTGGGGATTACATCTGTGGAACTTTCAGATTACTGGTGACTTGAGGCAGGGATTATGTCTCATATCCAGTGCCTAGCTAGGCCCATGCTTGTCATAAAACAAGTGAATATTACAATGTTTCTTCAATAAATTGCAAAGATAGTCATTTTAGAATCATGATTTACTGATTTTGCATCCCTAAATGCCAACCTTTAGGCCAGCTCTCACATTATAGGCATATTAACCTGCTGGGAATCTTTGCCCCTGCAGAGGTTGGAGGAGGCTTTTTGTAGGAGCTTCTGGGGGCTAATTTTAAAACCACTGATCTCTGACCCCATTGTTTTACTTATTGGTAAACTTACTGGAAGTCTGGTCATACTTCTGAACAATAACTACTACAGACCTCACATGAGCATGGCTGGATTTCACCTGTGGGTGGAGATGAAAAGTAAACGCTCTCTGTCTGCATCAATTGGAGAATTAGGGACCAGGAACAGCACATTACTTAGAGCGGTATTTTTCAGTGGGGGTGGAGTGCTATTGGCATTTTGGACAGGACATTTTTTATTCTGCAGGATTTTTCTGTCTAATGCAGGATATTTAACATTCTAGATCCCAGTCCACCAAAAGTCAGTAGTAACTCCCCTCTCCTCCAGTATCTGTGACAATATAAAATACCCCTTATTGAGGTGACATTGCCTCAGGTTGAGGACCATTAATTTGGAAGAAACCAGGAGGCCTCTCCTATTGTAAGTGCCATTTTCTAGATTTACAAATTTAAATCCAAGCTCTTCTTAACCTTGAAGACATTGATTTAGCTGTCAACCCTGGTTCAGAATTGGGTATCAACAGCTTGAGAGTAATTTCTGGCTGGGAAAGACTGAAAGGATGGAAAACCCATCTCTTTCCTCTGGACTAACTCTATGGTTAACAAGGAGCTTTAATTAATGCCATCTCACTGGCCCTATTTGTAATGTGAGGGGCAAGATCTATTACCCCTATTTTAAAGGTAAGGAAGTTCAGTCTTGAAGTAGTGAATGGTGCTGGCCCAAGTGTCACAGGTAGTACATTTCAAAGCTGAGTCTGGAAAGCAGATCTTCTGACTCCTAGGCCATCCCGCTCCCCACAGAGTATCTAGAAAACCACAGAGGAGGCCGGGCGCGGTGGCTCACGCCTGTAATCCCAGCACTTTGGGAGGCCGAGGCGGGTGGATCATGAGGTCAGGAGATCGAGACCATCCTGGCTAACAAGGTGAAACCCCGTCTCTACTAAAAATACAAAAACTTAGCCGGGCGCGGTGGCGGGCGCCTGTAGTCCCAGCTACTCGGGAGGCTGAGGCAGGAGAATGGCGTGAACCCGGGAAGCAGAGCTTGCAGTGAGCCGAGATTGCGCCACTGCAGTCCGCAGTCCGGCCTGGGCGACAGAGCGAGACTCCGTCTCAAAAAAAAAAAAAAAAAAAAAAAAGAAAACCACAGAGGAAGAAGTAGAGTTATGTATTCCGTAATTGGCCTTGGTGTTGATGGGATATGTAGCTAGTTTAACAAGCCAGAAACTAGAGCTAAAGAATAAACATGTATATTTGACTACTGTCAGAGCATTCTCAGCTGGTTAGATATACCATATTAAGAGCTAAATGCCCATTTGTATATTCAGTACATTGAAATACACAGTGAAACAGATGGGTACTGTGGTGTATTGTATTTATGACTAATTTGTTAACATAGGATTAATGAGAAGAAAACGATTTTCACAACATGATTTTGAAAGTTTTAGTCTTAGCCTTGACCCAAGCCTACCTCCAGGAAATGACACTCTGGGAGCTCTCCCTCTCTACTGTAAAAGCTGTCTAGATTGTTACACTGAGTCAAAAACCTAAAGGCAGAAGCTAGAAGACTCTACTGAACAGTAAAGATGTGGTGGGCTGACCTTTATAGCATTAGAAGGTGCTGGATTGATCCTGCACCAGCATCCATCTATTTCTGGTGGTGTGGCTGGCCACACATTCTGGGAAGAGGCAGAAGAGTGGTCCTCACCACATGCAGCCACCTGCACAGCACCAACATTCAATGCTGAATCACGTAAACAATTGGTCAATGACATCAATTGCAAAAGCACAAGAGCCATCTTACAGAAAGACAATGTAGATTCCCACACACAGGACTGAAGTTCTATTCACCATCTTGGTTGCTCTTCTAGTAAAAAATTGAGCTAAAATAGAAATTCTCCAGAGAATTGGCTGGTGTGTCAAGTGGCTATAAATGGCACACATCAGCTATCTATCTGTCAGATTTGTGGTTTTTATAGAGGCGGTGTAGCATGGTAGCACAAACTTGTTACCTGTGTCAAATTGGGCAGGTAATTTAACTACTTTAGTATCCAGGTTTCTCATCTGTAAAATGGCGATGATAGCATTACCAACCTTATAAAGTCATAGTAATTGTATATAAGTATTAGCTATCATTATCATTATTGTTTCCAGGTAAGGTACTAGCATGAAATTCAGAACTTCTGATAAATAATGATGTAAAAATAAGAATCTTGATTTATGTTTAATTCTTCGGTCTTAAGGAGGCAAATAATGGATTATTCAAGCTCTTGGCCCTATTTCATCGAACCATAGAATGTTATGGCTTGCAGGATATTGTACACTATTTAATCTAAATAACTTCTTTTAGGGATGAAGATTAAAAAGTAAGAAGAGTTAAATCCTTGCCTAAGTTCTTGCAACATGGATGATGCTGAGGTTTTGAATCTTTTTCTATGGCTTATAGTTCCACCCCTGAAATTTCTACCTGCTGACCATCCTTGACCAGTAGTTCTTTCACCTGGAGGTACAAAGGGAAATAATCTGAAATCCAAACACATACTCTTTCCTACTCCCTGAATCTTTGAGAAAAGATAAACCTGAATCTTTGATAAACTCATAGACTAAACAAGTTTTCATGACTAATGAAATGATGCATGATGTTAAAAAATGCAGAGTGGGTTCTATAATTGCCTGAGAGAGAGAAGACTCAAGTCATATTCCTCTGACATCAACTCAGGTGAGTGTTCCCAGCATCAATTTCTCTCTAAAGTGAGAGAGTTCAGTTATGTGATTGTTATAAAATATTGACATAATAATATGTTGTATAATCTCTAACAAACAATTAAGCCTTTCCATTTCTGAAGACCATTTTGTCAACAGAATGTTTAAACACCTGGGTGCAATTGTTTCTTATTTACTGATTATTTTTCAAAAACATGGAAAAATTTTTTTAAAATGAAGAGAAAATGAGAACCAGCTTGATCATTTGTTGTTCATTGGGTTGGAATATTTTGCCTTTGGCAAATAAGAATCAGTTAATTCTAGGCGTTTCCTTATTGACTTGCTAGAATAGAATGAGCTGTTTTTCTTTCATTTTTGTCAGTAATCACCAGTTAAAACCGTTAAAGGGAAGCCTTATTATTCCTGGAAAAGGATAATATTCTGTAAACCATCAGACTGCAATGTCGCTAGTTCTCCTCTAATTAATATATGTGCTTTCATTCTAAGCTAAGCTTCTTCTGAATTTAGGAACAATAGCAATTGCCTGCTGCTATCATGAAGGCCAGCCAAATACTTTCTGAAGGAAATGACAGGTATCTCTTCAAGATAAGAGTGGAAAAGAACACACAACTCCATTTAAGCTTTGAGTTTCTGAAGTTGCCTCATCACAGTGAAATGCAAGGCCCTTGGGCTGATTTGTGCTTTGTTTTCTGGGTGAAGCAGCAAGACACGGTTCTCAGGAGTAGTCTATCTTGGCCATCACTATTTATGCCCCGAGAAGGGCTAGAAGTGTGGTTATTAGGGTAAGATTTGATATACTGTGTTTGCCTCCTGTTTTATTTGCTAAAGGAAAATGCCATAGGGAATACTGAATTCTTGGTAGAGATAGACGAGTGTATGGCATGAATTAACCTGGAACAATGGTCTGAATTCACCAAATATTTATTGATCATCCATGTGTTCCAAACATCCTTAACCACAACATTTTTGTGTCAAAATAGGACATTCTTCAACTATGTTATTGATTAAATGGATGATTGTATGCTATTAGGATTTGTTTCAAAGCTACATTGTCAGTTCTCTTTATCTCTTGGGATCTACAATTAGAGAAATCCTTTAAGCTACAGACAGAGAAGAACTCTTTTCAGCTCCAAGGTAATGGCATTTTCCCCTTTCCAAAATCCAGGTCTTTCCAAGAGGTAAACAAGTCCAATGAAGTGAATAAATCATGACGCCCAACAACATATGTTTATTGTTAAAGCTAGCATCATCTACTAGAGGCCAGAGTTAACAGCTTCGCTTATTTTTCCTTCAGTAATATAGTCCCATATGCAACAAAGGCTTGAGGACAGCAGGCTTGACCAGAAACAGTGGCTAAGTGTATATCTCAACTATTTACCTGGCAGAGCATCTTACAAGGTAGCATCTATACCTTTGTTAACTCTAAACAAAGGTAAACTAGATCTCTGGAACTGGAGATAAAACCTCATGCCCTTGGTCATACTCAGCTTGATTCTCAGGTGCTTTGTTAATGAATGAATGAATAAATAAAGTGACTTCGTTGAGTTTTCAAGATGATAAAACCTAATAAATACAGTGAAGAAACATCTGATGGAATAGCTTTGTTTCCAGGCTTATTTTCTACAATATCTGAGCACTGTGTTAATCTTTGTGTTATAAGAGAAAAATATTTAAGTATCAAAATCGTGAGCCACTATAGAAGGTATGGCTGCATCTGAAAAGCAGTTTTACTTGACGCATAAATAGCATACACAGATCAAAGTGCGGGAGTAGGTCATAGATGCCAGGTTTGGGAGTAAATGTTAGCCAGATGCATAAGGTTCTCCTAATGACCCCAACAGATTTCAACTTAGAGAATGAATAAAGACTTGTTATTTAAGGTTAGAATCCCTAATGCAAACTCAATAATTCAGTCAAGTTAATGACCTTCACTTTTGTTTTGGTTTAATCAATGCATGAAATAGAATTATTCTTGTTCTGATTGATCTATGAGAATGGATAGAAGCTCATTTCAATTTGTAATTAGTAAAAATATGTTTTGAAAATTATCCCTCTCACCCCCTCACACTGAGGAATATCCATAATGCTTGTATTTTGTTATTTCTGAACCCCTATTACCATGATGGGTTCATTATTGATGATTACTTAAAAACTATTAGTTAAAAGGTAAAAGCTGTTCCAAACAACTTAGATTTCCTAGTTATTATTTTTTTTAATCCTGAGAAGAAAATGTTCAGGACCAAATAAACTAAACAACAAACAATGCACGGTATTTCAATTAATAGAATCTAACCAATCAGAAATTTCAATAACTAAATTTTTTCTTCACCGTTCCACTTTTCAGTGAAATAAATGACCACAAAGGCAAAAATACAGTCATATCAGATTAAAATCATTCAGAAATGCATTCAGCCTGAACTACCCTATTTGTACATTGTACCATATCTATATAAAATAATAAACCATTGCAGATTCAATCATGCTCCTTACAAAGTACTTTCGTATACCTACACTTTGAGTTTTACAATAGTCCTTTGAGATAGTTATGGCAATTCTCATCAACATCTTAGAGATGGAGAAATGGAGCTCTAGAGGGCCTCATAATGTCACCAAGTAGTATGTGACACCTGTACTACTGACTCCAAGTCTTATATTCTTTCCATGTCTATCATACTATGATTACTAAGACAAGATAAACACACACACATGTTATTACATATACATGTAATCTATAAACTTGGATTTTGAATTGGAACTTTCAGATTGTATCTAAGTCAAAATTCATGAAACCAGCAAACCTCATTCATGGAATATTTTACTTTATAGTAACATAGAATTCATATGAAGCAAACTCCAGAGGCTACCAGCTCCTTAAGTAAGACATGCACACTCCTTCATAGCCTAATTGTCCTAGGTATCTTTGGGCTACTGGTGATGTATTAGGCATAAGTGGCTTTTTCTTTCTTTCTTGGCAGAAGATTCAAAGAAGAGTAGGTCCTTACTTCTTCCCAGTTCCTAGTTCTTGGTTGCTGTGAGGGTGTGTTTAGTACTGTCTAAAGCAGCATTTTTCAACACAACTTTCTTAAATGATAAAAATTTTCTGATATCTGCCCTGTCCAACACAGTTGTCATTAGCCATATAGAGTTATTGAGCACTTGAAATATGACTAGTGTGACTGGGGGGCTAAATTTTTAATTTTAAAAAGTTTAATTAAAATTTAATTATAAATAGTTACATGTGGCTAGCAACTACCATGTTGGACAGAGCAGTTCTAGACAGTTTAAGGTTCTGGTTCACAGGGCCCAGAGCACCTCAGCAATAGCATTCTTGACAGATCACCTAGTGAAGGTACAATAGAAGTTATGTATTTAATTACAAATTATACCTTAATTGGCTCTAGAGAAGGTTTGAAGCAGAATGTTGACATTATCAATAAGAAGCCATATGGGAATTTTTAAATAAGAGATAACAAATGGGGAGAATATGTTTGGTAAATATTAAGAGATGAGAGAGCAAAACAGTGTCATTTGAACTGAATTTGAATTTCTAAATGCTATGTTTTGGAGCAGGATGGAACTATCAATTAAATACAAAAATCCAATTGATGAAGATGAGACTTTACTATGAGCTGGAAAGAGAAGAAAGAGGAAATGAACAGAACATCAGGTTCTGCTGTATGTTAGAGCGAACTAGAATCCTAGGACCATCTTTAGTGGAGCCACCTACTTGACAGAATTGTGATAATTCAGTAAAATGATTGATGAAATAACTTCACATAGTGCCTCACATATGATAAGCATTTCATAGATATTAGCACTTATAATGATCTTTATTTATAAAAATCCTTAGGTCTTATTAGGGCCTTTTCCCAGTCCCTATGAGAACATGGGCAGTTGCTTAGGGTAACCAATTTTGGGAAAATTATTTTTTGGGGAATAGGTCATAGAAGAGGAGATATAGACAAGATAGGGCAAGTAAAGAAATGACACACTACCATTCCCATTTGTGAATTGCTGCTTCAGAGAAAACTGTTACTGAGGAAGGTGGGTCATATCTCCCAGGTATGTTGGGTTAGACAACACTGGAATAGTAGGACCAGAGGGGAAAGAGCTGGAAGACAAAGGAGTTGGAAGAAAGGTAAGAGGAATGCTTGTATGTTAAGTGTTTGTATTTTTGGCATGTTGTTTAATTTAGTTCACTGATGCTGACGTTTAGTCAAAGATAATCAAAGAAAGCAGTATGGAAGAGTATTTCAGACACCATGAAATAGTGGGAAAGGCCCTGGGCCTGGAATCAAGTTAACTGGGTTCTAATTTTTCAATCATGTGACTTAGACTAATGACCATCTTTTGGTTTCCAAGTTTTCTTTCTTGTAAAACGATGGTGCTAAATGATATTCAAAGCTATTCTAGTTCTAAAATTCAACAGTATAATTCTAAATATGAAAGTACATGTGGACTCTAGTTCTCCAGACTTCCTGAAGCCCTGCTACTCTTTTAGAAAAGGCTGCTGGTTTAGTTCTCTAACTTGTTTCCATAATATTGGAGCTGAAGTTGTGTGAACAGTGGTATCTCAAGCAGCATGCAAAAGCAGTTGGGAGGGTGGGAGTGCATGACAGTGAGTGGGTGAACGGATTAAAGAGAAAAGGGTTGGAAGAGAGGAGAGTGTGTGAAAGAGAAGAGCAGGCCTCCCTCCTTTGTCATTCTCCTGCTATAATCTCCAATAACAGCTATTCAGAGCCAAATACCAAAATGAAGGCATGAAAATGGCTTGGACTTTGAGTTAAATAGATCTGATTTTGAATCCAATCTCTGGAATCAAGTTTCTGTTTCCTTCTCTGTGTGATACTTTTGGTTGGCAGCTATTGTGAAGTTTAAATGAAATATTATTACCCAGCAGATAGAGGTGTTCAGTACAAATAGGCCTCCCCAAATTGGCTCAATCCTTTCCCCATCTTGCCCATAATATAAAAGACTAGCTAAAGAAACAAACATACAGGGCTGCTTAGCGATCTTTATCTAGAGCATGTAAATAACATGCAGTGGGGAAAGAAGGGTTCTAAGAAGAGGAAAAAGCTACAACCATGAAGCCCCTCCTTTGTGTAGCCTAACAATTCTCTGATTCCTGAAAGCCACAGAAATGTTTATTATCAAAACAGCATCCCTAACTGCCTTTCAACACTTTACCGACAGGAAGTCTCACTGCTCAGGTATAGGAAGTAGAACGAGGAAGCTCCCGAAGTTAGCAAAACTGGATCCTGAAGTGACACCCGCTTCCTGCTCTTCCACTCAGGAAAGCCGGGAACCTTTTCCCAAGCGGAGTCCTGGGGAAGCAGAAAACCGGGAAAGGCAAAGCCCCTTCTTCTCCTGTTTCTCTAGGTCGCTTGCTTAGAACCCTTTAGGGTTCTAACGCAGTTTCTGCTCGCAGGGAATGTGGGCCCTGGCGGTATTAGCACCCAGCCTCTGAGAACTTTCAGCACCGCGGACAGCGCCATTCCCTGCACTCAGTCGGAGGAGGAGAGCTACCTTGCCCCCAGCGCTCTCCTAGACCCTATACCTAGGGGGAGGCAGGGTGACATCCTGCGGCCCTTGGGCAATTCGGGCCAGTGACGTTCACCGACACTCAGGCGGGGATCCCTTCGCCAGAGCCAGTTCCTTTGAGTGTCTCCGCTCAAAATCTCAAGGAAACGAGCTTCACACAGGTGGGGGGATGAGGAGTGCCAGAACAGGAGCGAGCCCCGCTGCTCTAGCCTTCCTGCATCTCTTCTCGCCTTTGCTTTGCTCACTCTTCAATCGCAATATAAAATACTCATTTGGGGAGGGGGCAGGGTGACACAGGAGAGAGAAGGAGGGTGGGGGCTGCATCCCGCGTGGCCACGCAGCCCTAACCTGGCCCTCTTGGATTAGAGGGGAGCTGATGTGCTTTGGAATGGGAGAAGAGAGGAGACTGAGGGTTGAAGCAGTGCAGGAGAGCTC
Organism: Homo sapiens; assembly: GCF_000001405.40. Lineage (NCBI taxonomy): Eukaryota > Metazoa > Chordata > Mammalia > Primates > Hominidae > Homo > Homo sapiens. Next base: position 170,585,210 of record NC_000003.12, read on the forward strand.
CCCTTGCTGGGGCTGCCGGCTCTGGGCAGGGAGCTTCCCTGGACACCGCTCCCGTCACGTCCTCTTCGCCGCTCCCGGGAGAGTCACCACTCTCCGGGGACAGACGCCCCTCGGGGCGCCACCATCCTGGTCGGGGTGCTGGGCTCGGCGGGAGTCCCTTTGAGGAGTTTGCTCCCAGGTAAAAGGGCAGACGTTGCTCCCGACCTCCCCGGAGTCTGCGGCCGGAAAAGCGTCTCCGTTTCATGGTCTCGGTCCGAGGCGGAGAACGGAGCTGCCCGTGCGGGGTGCGCGCCAAGGCGGGGGACAGGACGGGCCCGGCGTCTGCCGAGACCTAGGCTGCCCGCATTCCGCTCGCGGCTCCCCTTCTGCCTCCCGCTCTAGCGGCGCCGGAGCCGCGCTGGCCCCCGCCCCGCCCGGCAGCTCCCGCGAGTCAGAGCCCGGTGCCCCCAGACCGCGGGCAGTCGGGGCCTCATTCCGGGCCAGAGCAGGAAAGAGCCCGACCCACCTCCTCGGTTCTTCCAGGGAACCCCTTCTCGGAGGGCGCCCTGGGCCTCCGCGCCATATTCCTGGTCCCCCGCTCCCGGTGACTCCGGCTCCCTGGGTCATTCCGGGAGAGGCGGCCATCCCAGTTGCAGGGGTCCCGCTGGGGCGCGGGGGGCGCGGAGGGGGACAAACGGCAGCGAAGGGGGCCGTTCACTTACCGGGGTCGGGGCTGGAGGCGACGAGCTGGCTGCCAAGGCTGGTGGCTGGCAGTCCGCACTTACTGCGCGGAGCTGTCTCTCTAGCTGGGATGGGAAGTGGTGGTGGCGGCAAAGGAAGGCAGGAGGCAGCCGCTGCTGCTGAACAGCTCCTCAATTATTCAGATTGGGCCCCCACCCCCCGAACCCCTCCCCGTGCCTGCTCGTCCTCCCTCCAGCTCGCCTGTCTCCGCCTCCTTGGAGTCACATGGCCTGCCCAACCCCTTACATACTGGGCCCAAGCCTGGCACCAGACCACCTCCCACCTGGCCCCCCTGCCTTCCCCTCTGTCTGCCGCTCACAACTCCTCGCTGGCCTTCTGAGCCTCCAGTTGTGACCTCCAGTGTCTTATGTCAGGCTGCAGGGAGGTTGAGGGGGCCGTGGATGGGGGCAGTTCTTTGCCCTGGGAAAGCAGGGACCAGCAGGACTCTGCAATGTCTGTGCGTTGGGAAGGCATCTGCCGCAGCTCTGCCCCTGCTAGACTGGGCTGTCCAGACCTCCTTCCTGCCCTCTGGAAGCTTCCCTCATCCTCTGCGGAGCCTTCGTTGCTCTTAAACTTCCACATCCCTGAGCCCTACAGGAAAGAAAAAATGAGAGAGGTTGATTTCTCCTCTCCTCCTAAAGAAGACAAGACCCACCTCTGTCTTCAAAGCTTAAGTTTATCGTTGGGTTCACAACATCTTATGGGTGCAAAGATCATGGACTTGAGATTTGAAGAGCCATTAGGATTCCAATCTGTATGACCTTGGAGCATTTAACTTTCTAGCTTTTCTTCTCTCGTCTGTGAAATAACCACCTTGCAGTATTGTCATGAGATTGAGAAATCATCATGTTCTTAGAATTGCCTAGCCTAGAGTTGGACAGGTATTTGGAGCTCAATAAAGGAGAGTTCTTTTTCCCCCACCTTTGTTAAAATAAATTTCACAAGGCAAGAAGGATGTGATGTGTGCTAATACAGTGAAAGCATCTTTTAAACATGGAAGGAGGCATCTGTGAGGTCAGGCTAGACAAGTACCAGTCTAAACGGAGACAAGAGTGAGATAAGGTTTCTGTTTTGTATTAGCTCCTTTAAGATGAGTGTCCTAGAGCCAGGTTATGTCCCAAAAGGATTGGGACTAGATGGGACCAACCCAGGCATGCTTGGCCACATCACCGAATGAATTATTTAACAAGCATTGAGTAGACTGATTTGGATGAAAGTTATCTACATAAATTCTTGCACTTTGGCCCAAGCCCTCAAAACACATGGGAGGCAACAAAATGTAACTCTCCTATCCTTGGAAATGAATTCACTGGGCTTGTGTTTGGGGAGAATACTGGCTGACTGATACTCCTCTAGGGTGGAGCAGTTCAAATCTAGCTCTACTTTGTGGGTCTGCCCTGGGCTCTTCCCAGAAAGTTGCTTGATCATTGCCAGGACAGTCTTGGTTAGTCCACCTACCTCAAGCTTGTTACTGCCTTCGATGAGCATCTAAGCCTGACAATATCCCCATATTTTAAGCTTTGAGTAGTTCTGCAGGATATGTTAGACCTCCTGGGATCACCAAGAAGCTGTGAGACATTGTAGGAAAAGTGCAAAGTTAAAAAATCAGAAATTTGGAATCTCAGTGCAGGTTCTGCCAGCTACTTATCATATGATTTTTCACAAATCACTTAAATTGTCAGACTCTCATCTTCAGAATGGGAAAGGAATGTCTACCTGCCTTCTATATAAGATGGTTGTGATGTTTAGATGGGATAGCACATGAGAAGTCACTGTAAAAGGTAAAGAGTATGAATACTATGGGCTGAAGAAAACCCTGAGTCTATTCTAGTCCAAATGAATTATGAGGGTGATAAGATGGGAAGATGGGATTTGTCATGGAATATGCAGCTACTAAAATGTTGGTGTGTTGCTCTAAGTCTGCATGTATGCCTGTAGCTCAGGGGATGTGATTATTGGAGAACTGCATTCTTTGTTTCACCTTTTTCTGGATAAATTTCTGATTTAAATCTCCATATTTCCCTGGCCTTTTATTTCTGGAACACCAGCCACAATCACAATAGTTATGAATATTTACTATCTGAGAAAAGTTTGTGCCTATATTTCAAGACAGCAGGGTTTAGACTTTTCTGCCTTTGCTAGGTAAAATTGACTTGGGTTGGTAATTCAAAATGGCTTCGATTTCAAAGAAAAAAAATTTGGATTCTAGGAACAAACTCTAGACATTCATCAGCAGCTTGAATGATGATATGTGTTTCTAGTCCACTGCCAATAAACTCAATGAAATCCTCACACAAACCAGGAACTCCTGGAACCCTCCAACCTTAAGCAGATTCCAATCCTATCTCCTGGTGTACTTCCCCTTAATATTCTTTGGAAATTGCTAATCTGGACCTCTTTGTATTTAGGGAGACTAAAAGACCAGAAAGTGTCAACCATGCTTCTATATATACCACTGAAAAAATTGTCTGGGCTAGGTAAAATGCTGCTTCTGACTCCTGCCTACCTCTCCACTGACATCAAGAAACATGAGAAAGGGAAAAATAAGCATGAAATCATTTAATTTGGCCATGATGCCTTTATGAGCAGTTACCTGGACAAGCATAAATTTCAGAAAATTTTGAACAGTTTCACCAGAAATTGCTCAAGGACTCTGAATATATATTTTTTCAAAGCAGTTTTAAATGTCCAAGGCAACTTTACCCAGTGAAGAGCAGAAAAGGAAACTTAGAGAACCGATCTTGCATAGATTGCAGTAGAAAGTTATACCTTAGCAATGATTTCTTGTAAAGGTTTCCCTTGGGTCCTCCCTTACTTATAAGCTCTTGTCTTTTGCATGATGATTGTTGACTTTATCATAAGCCACTGCAAACACTTTCCAGCTGTAAGTAGAGCATTAATGAACAAAGAAATATAAATGCAGCAGACAAAAATTTAATTATTTAGAGCCATGCACAGCCGCAACAATTGGTGAAGTTCCAGAGTTCAACAATGATCTTACAAAGTGACTACTAACTAGATCTTTAAAGTACACATCCTTGTTTTCTTGTTCCTACAGTTGAAATGTGGAAGTGTTGATTCATGTATTCAACATATTCTAGACACTTAGGATACAGCCATGAACAATACAGAAATGGTTCTGCTCTCCTTGAGCTTACAGTCTAGAGCAGGGGGTCAGACCACAAACAAGTAAACAAAGCAGTGGAGATAAGTATCATGATGGAAATACAACAGAACAATATAATGAAGAGTAAAGGGGCACCACTTAAGTGATAGAGAACTAACATAAGCAAATGTGGGGCTCAGAGACAAAAGCGATTACTCTCCAGGGAAGCAGCAGAGCACTCTTATCTAGGGCCTTTTGCCAAAATAGGGTCATTAAAAGGGTAACGACTAAAATCCCTCATGACTGACCTGCTTGAATGGATGGTGGTTAAGCCATGAGGGAATTGGCCAGATGCCTTAAAAACAATTCTCCATTTTTGTCTCATGATTCATGAAAATGAGTACCTGATGCTTTCTTCTAGAAGGACCCCAAGCTCATCAGTGCCCCTGACTCTTGCCTCTGAGCAGATTCAAAACCTGAGAAACCAAAGACACTGTGATAGCCTGGCTAGAGGCTCGTCTGGAACTTTCCAAAGGGAGCAGTACCTTTGAGCAGCAGGAAGACAGAAAATAAGACACACAACCAGAACCTAGCATTACCATAGGCACACCATAAAGATCTATTAAACAAACAACCTGCTGCTAGGATCCTACCAATTGGACTGGAAATTTATAAGCAAATTATCTATGAGTAAATTATCCTCTAGGTATTTAAATTTCAAAAGGAAGAAGGAGGATGCTGACCTAAGCATGCTCATTTTATTCCTAAATTTACAATAGAATATAGCACTTTCCCCACTCCTACCCCATGCAGAGTAAATAAAGTTGCCTAATCAGTGAAACTATGGAGTCAAGACAGAGGTCAGGACTGTCAAACCAATGGAGTTCCTTGACATGGAAGGAATCGTTAAAGCAAACAGTTCTTCCCATTTATTATGTGTTTCCTTCCTTTAATTACATTCACTTTCCTAAATTAATTTATTTTAAAGAGGTTTTCATCACTACCTTAAATAGAAAACTGATATCAGTTGCCATAAATACAAGGCAACTATTTAAACAAACACAATGAGAATAAAACAATGCTATTATAGTCAAGATAAATACCTTTGCCTTCCCAGGAACCGAAGGCTTGCTTTCTCCTTGTTAAAAAGGAAATTAGCAGCTGTTAGTGAGGTGTTAAAGACATTGACATCAAACTGTCTTTCTCCATAAAGTAACCAAAAAGATTGAATGATAAGTGGAAAAGGGATAACCTTCCCACTAGGTGATTACAGGCCATTTAATGTTGAGTCCTAGTACCATCTAAATCAATATTTCTCTAACTCTAACGTGCATAGAAATCATCTAGGGAACCTTGTTAAAAATGCATAATTAGATTCAGTAGGACTGGGGTGGGACTCAAGAGCTCGCATTTCCAGCACAATCCCAGTGACACTGATGCTCCTGATTCTTGGACTACTCTTTGAGTAGCAAGGATCTTTGAATAGCAAGTGCCTTTGATGCTGTATTTTCCATATTTTGGGAGATACTAGCTCTTATTTTAAAGATGAGAAAAGTTAGGACTCAGAGGGTTTGACTAACCTCGGTTAGTTTTCTTGTTCTAACAAGTGGAATGTGGAAGTGTTGATTATTTATTCAACATATTCTAGACACTTGGGATACAGCCATGAACAATACAGAAATAGCTTTGTATTAGAACTATTTAGTTGGTAGGTGAGCCAGAGCTAAAACTTACATTTCACAGATCTGTCTCCAAGTCTGGGTGCTCCTTCCCAAAAGATCTGTAAAATATCTTGCTTACTAGGGCCAAAAACCCACCCCTTTTCAAGGGGCCACAACATGAAGGCCAAGGCTTAGACTGCTATATTCTATAGGTTATTCTGTGTAAATACAAAATAAAAGCCAATACTTGGACTGTTGTATTCAATATGTTAGTCTGTGGTAATGTACATGCTCAAACTTTCAGTAGTTTGAAATAACAAAAGTTTATTTACTGTTCACATTATGCACCCACTGTCAGTCACTGTGGGCTCCGCTCCATGTAGTCACTCAATACTATCTTATGATGTCCTGTCTCAGCCTAACGCTTCAGAGTTCACCCTGGGTGGCAAGACCAGGGCTGAAGGACCTTGTACCAGCAACTAAATGCTCTGTGCTGAAAGTGATGCACATCACCATGGCCCACAACTCATAGTCCAGGATGGCTCATATGACCCCACTGCAATCACAAGGTGAGTAGGGAGGAATAATACTTTCTTCTACATGTAATGAGAGTAGAATCAGATAAAGTAAACGGTAAAAGTCTCTACCATATAGGTTTTTTTTTTCCATCACTAACAGTCCTTGATTCTGTCCTCTCAATTACTCTTCTCTTAATCTTTCCTAACTAAGTTTCCCAGAACAATGGGCCACCATTTGTCCATTTTTCCCCGAGTTCTCATCATACATAGGGAAAAGGCAGGCAAATGGCAGCGGGAATGCAGAATGTCATTTTGGTGACAGCAGGGGCATCAAAAGAGGTAGGTCAGTCAGGGAAAGTGGTCGGGGTGATTGCAGGGGAGAGGGGGCAGAGAAAAAGGGAAGGAAAGAAAACTATCACTTCTTGAGGGCCTACTAAGTGTTAGGCCCTGTATTAAGACATTTAAATAATTTTGTACTCATAATATTCTTGTCAAGTTGTTATCATCCTGCTTTACACACAAGGAAACAGAGGCTCAGAGGGCTTATATAATTTTTTAAGGTCAAAATAGAGAATAAATCAGGATCAATGCCAGACTGCAAATTTAGAATCTCTCCCAGGAAGTCTAAGAAAGGGAGCCAGGCAGCACTGGCTCTGGAGAATGGGCCACTTGTTCACATTGACATTGGAATTCCTGAGATTTGGCTTTGCTGTATTAGGCATGTGCAGACAAACAGCTGAAACATCCAAATTCTATAGTGGCTACTACATGAGATGCCACAGTCTTCCACTGAGGAGAGATGTATACATGAGTTCCCATCATGCTACAAGTTGATTCCACTCCCCATTCTTTTTCACCACATGAAAACGTCTCTTATGTCAGTATATCTGACATAAGAGCAATGGTTGCAGTAAATAATCTAAGGATATGATCAAGCAGGCATTCCAAACGTACAATTAAAAATCTATAATAAACATTAGGAAAAACTTTGCAATATATTAAGAGACCTATCTCACAGTATAGAAGGGAATAGATGCTTGGAAGTTTACCCTGTCTGGGCTGTAGGAGGATATGATATTCACAGCTAGCATGGGTGTTGGGGAGTCGTTCTCTGGAGCCTGAGAGTGATGGGGTCTAGAATTGTCCCATATACTGCTGAGATCATGGTGGGAAGGAGCAGGGAGTCAAACTGACCTAGGTTTGTATCCAAACTCAACTATGAATTAATGATGTGTTATTTGGCAAATCATTCCAGTTTTCTGAGGCTCAGTGTACTAACCTCTGAGAGGGCATAATAATGCCTGACTGTAGAATTGTGAAGTTTGGAAATAATATGCATAAAGTGCCTGGTGGTTATCATTGTTCAATATTGATGACTATTCTTTGTGTTGTTAACAATAAGAAGATGGATATGAAGGGGACTAAATAGGCTCAGCCACTATCTACTTGAGTGAGCTCAGCCATGGCAGCTCCCCATGCTGAGTCTCATTTATTCTTCACAAAAATGAGGGAATGGGAATAGGTTTCTTCAAACAACTCTTCCATTGACTCAACACTACAAGCCAAGAGTTGTGTGGTTTTCCCGGGGCAGGGTAGGGAGTAGTTCTGGTGAGCGGCCACACTGAGTGCAGCAATGAGAAGAGTGCCAGCTCATGCTGAATAAAGGAGACCCTGGGCCCACTGGCAGAGTTCCCGAGCCTCAGGTGTTGCAAACTTCATTTTCTGGCCATTGCCACCAGCCAATGACTCATTACAACAAGAGACAATGAGGAAATGACCACAGGTCAAGAAGTAGCCTTTTAAGCCAACTTTGCATGTATGAAAGGTCACATTGTTGAGGAAGCATTCACAGCAACAGCTTTGAATACAAAACAAAAATGTCAACAAGCACAGACAGAATTGGAGGGAAAGAAATGATGCTCACTCTAATGGGATTGTTAGCTTGCTCCAGTCTTGGCAGTCCATGTGATTGCCACCAAGTGCATAATGTATTATACTTGGTAGTGGGCCAATTATGTCCGCAGCAAATTCCCTTTAGGAGATGGATAAGCAAATCGCTACGCTCTGAGTAAGCATCCATCGTGTAAAACAGTGATTATTTTATTGTCAGCCTTCTAAAGATATGTATTCACCTGCTGTGTATAAGCTTTCTCCTATTTAATTCAATGACTTTTAGAAAATGAGAGTATTTTATTTTTTTACTCATTTCTTAAAGCTCTTAAGAAGACCAAAGACTCTGCAAAGTGTTCCAGTACATTAGATGAAAATGATGAGACAATTTAGAAACAGGAATTAAGTTCCAGTCTTTATCTCCTCCAGGTCCCAGCTGGGGAAGACCTAAATCATCAACCAGGATGTCTCCTTCCAGAATCCTCAGGGAAGGAGAGTTCACAGCTTGGCTGCCCTACTCCCCCTCCTTCCACAAAATGTTGTAGTGTTTAATCATCCTTGCATTAAGGTTTCCTAAGTCTTATTGTTTCAGGTACCAAGAGTGCCTTTAAGATGACTGAGGGCGAAAACCAGTGTGTTCTGATATGAGGATTCAGTCATTCCACCTGAGTAGCTGCTCCCTGCAGCCACCTGTCTTCAGATTGGCCAATCATTCTGGACTCTGGCCCCTAGCTCTGTGGTCAGCTTGGTCCAGGTCATCTTCCCCATGTGGCTTGGAGGAATTTCTAGCAAACTCCTGGATTTTGAAACATGACTTGGCCTCTTTGACCAAGTCCTGAACCAGACACCAGCTCACTGCCTTCCAGGTCTGATCCTGTAGATTCCTCATTTAATCATCCAGCCAAGCCCTGTGTTATTGTAGAGGAGGCACACTAAATTATTTCTTATTTCAATCTGTGTTTATATATTGGTATTCAATCGAGGCTTTATCTATTAAAATTGTGATCAAATAGGAGGCACTTATTTCATGGATTATGCCATTATAAGAAATAAGGATGGCTTCACTTACACTTACTGTCCCATAATCATCATTGCAATGGTTTGCTTCATCCACGAGGTCTGTTTCCAGTGTTGTGCTTCTCTGCATGTTCTTTGGGATCTCCATCTTCTGATTTGAAGATATGGTGAGGATGATGATGATGACAGTGCAATAAAAATGTCTGTGGCTTCCTTCTCACTCCCCATTCCCTAATCCCCATACCCTGGCTTTATTGGCTGCTGCTGTGTTCACTATGTTTAATGTTGGGAACATTTGTATCAATTAAGGTATCATCGGAAGTACTTTAAACTATAATGGGAAATGAGGCAAACTTAATCCTATCTCACAATAGCTTAAAGGCTGTCATTGTTTTGTCCAGAACAGATGCTGACAATGGCTGGTTTAACAAGCAAATACCCATCTCCTTTGAATTCTATAAGTAAGATTTGCCATCCCTGATTCTTTATTAAATGAACTCTGCATAAAACTTGGGTCATCTCTCATATGCTAATGCTTTCAGCTGGTTGGGAATCCTTATCAAACAAGAGAAATTGGGTCAGTGTGAAAGAGAGCAATGATAGAATGTTTGCCTTACTCAGAAAGGTGACATGACCTCTGGCTTTGAAAAGGCAGTGTGTCTATCAAGGGAATAGCATTGAATATATTTTGAGAATTAGGCCTTTTTTCATATCTGGTAAGTGGATTACAAGATAAAGGAATCTCAAATTATATATATTGTGTATATGTTGGTCTAGGTTGGAAGAGTGATGGCAAAATAACCACCAATGATGTGAAAAATGGAAATAACTGCTGTGGCCAGAGGTCTCCCCTGATTAGGCTAGGGCTAGTTTAGGATCTTTGTGGAGGAAATGCTTATGTGGACAAACAGAAAAAGATGCTAATTAAAAAGCATTTCATTCTTTTGGTGCATGTTATTTCAGCCTCAATAGGAAGGCTAGAAGACTTAATTTTAAAACAATTTTATTGTAGTAAAATATATATAACACAAAGTTTACCATTTTTAATCATATTTAAGGATACAATTTAGTGGCATTAACTATAGTCACATTATTGTGAAACCATCGCCACTATCCATCTCTAGAACTTCATCCCAAACTGAAGTTCTGTACCCATTAAGCAAAAACTTTCCATACCCTTCTCTCCCAGTCCCTGGCAACTAGCATTTTACTTTCTGTCTCTATGAATTTGACTACTTTAGGCCCTTCATATTAGTGTAATCATACAGTATTTGTCCTTCTGTGATGGGCTTGCTTTACTTACCGTAATGTTTTCAAGGTTCATCTATGTTTGCAGCATGTGTCAGAATTTTCTTCCTTTTAAAACTAAATAATATTCCATTGTGTGCAAATAGCACATTTTGTTTATCCATTTATCTGTTGTTGGGCACTTGACTTGCTTTCACATTTTAGCTATTGTGAATGGTGCTGCTATGCACATAGGGGTACAAATACCTCTTTGAGATCCTGCTTTCAATTCTTTTGGGTATATACCAAAAAGTGGGATGACTGAATCATATGATTATTCTATGGTTAATATTTTGAGAAACTGTCATATTCTTTTCCACACTGGCTGCACCATTTTACGATTCTCCCAGCAATGCCCAAGGATTCCAATGTCTCCTTATCATTGCTAACATGTATTTTTTTTAATAGCCATCCTAAATGGTGTGAAACCAAAGACTTTAAAAACAAAAATTATATGGCTAACACTTATTGGGTGCTGACTAGGTGGCAAATGCTCTTCAGGAAGGTCATAGATTTCAGTCATTTATTGACTAACTTAGCCAAAATAAACTTTGAATGACAAAATTAAAGGTAGAATCTGACCTATGCATTCTGCAGAGAGAACTTCTCAACAGTTGCCCTGTGGCCGTTTGTTCAACAGACATCAAACAAACATTTCCTGAGAGCCTACTATGTGTGTGTTAGCCAGGCTAAGCCTTTGTGATAAAAGAAAAAAGAGGAGGAGTAGAGCTACCTAAAACCCTGAGTCATTTAATAGAACTGAGAAATTCTTCTGTGGTGTAGGCCCTGGGGTTTTGTGTATGAATGAAGGGTACACAGAGCTAGGAGGACGGTTGTTGTCCAGCAGTTTGCCAGTCTTAATGTGGTCTATAATTGAGTGGGCAGTGAGGGGAATGTGGCTGTGACCTGGACTTTTTAGTCTTCCCTGGAAATGGTCCTCTAAATTGGAGGCACATGTAATGGAAAGGTCAGGGACTTCAGGCATAGCTGGGTCCAGGTGCTGAAAGAGCATGATTAGGTATCTGCCTTTATCTCTCAGCTCTGTTTGTTTCTGAGTTAGCTTCATCCTTAGTCAAACTCTCCTCTAAGGTGGCAAATGGCTCTGGGCTCACTTAAAAAAAAAAAAACAAAAAAAAGCAGATTAACACCTCCAGTGGAAGGAGAGTACCTCTTTTCCAACAGTTCTAGCACAAGTCCAGAGCTGACTCTCATTGGACTGACTGGGGTCATTTGCCCATTCCTTAAGCAATCACTAAGTTCAGGGAAATGGAATATGATAATTGTCTGATTTATATCCTGTGCCCACCAAAGTTCTGGAAGGTGGGGTTAGTATCACATAAATCACATGGAGTGGGAGTGGGGTTGGGACATGTTACCAGAAGAAGGAGAAAAAGATCCTAATCAGGTGAAAACATTCTCCAAACTTTATTGACCATGGAATTCTTTTTCTTGAAGTTACTATCCAATAGAATGCAGTCATAAGTTATCCAATTCCCAAATCATTTTGCATAATAATCATGGTCTTGTGCTTAGAGATTCTTACCTGACCCCATTAATGTCATGTGTAAATAAGGACAAAAAGTGTATTGCCTGATTTTTGACACCCCTAAGAACTGCCATATTGATAATAATAATGAATGAATTTTTTTCTTATAGCACCACTCTGCATTTCTTCAGTGCTTTATACTTTATCGAGTTTTTCTTCTGCATACGATCTTATTAGCTCTTAGATGACATCAACTGGAGTCAATTATACAGTCTGGAGTCAACTAACAGACATCAGTTTTCTTGCCATTAGTTGGCAAAATATCATACCTGATTCCCAACTCCCCTTAGCTCAACCTGCCACCTCGCTGGAGTACAAAACTCTTAATGAAGATGTTAAGTGTCCTAATTAATTTTGTCTTTGTGAAAATGTTTTTATTTTAGTGCCATAAAAAAAGAAAAAGAAGAAAAAAAGGGTTCCCAGCAAACATCTTCTCCACTCTCTTTGGCCTGGATTAGGTTATATACCCCCTCCAAACCAAAAGCTCTAACCAGATGTTTGAATTATGCTGATTAATAGTCTACCTATCCCTGAAGGCAGACTTGTTATTAGTTTCCTCTAAAACATATGAGTAGTGAGTAAAATGGGGTAGCTACCAAGGAATGGGAGCTGAATATGGAGGAGGCAACTTCAAGCAAAGCCCACCAGAGTAGGTTTGTATCACTGTATTCTCCTTCTTTTTCTTATCTTCTTTGAGATATTATCTATTTATCCTCATTCTACAAGAGATTTCAGGCAGGCATGGGCCATCAGTAGGAGGATGTTAGGGATAACAGAAAGATTATTGGATTCGGAATTCAGTGTTTAAGGCATGGGTCTGTCATATCGCATCTCTGTGACCTTGGGGAACTTCCACATCTCATATCTGAAACTCAGTGTCTCTCATCAGATAAATGGAAATAATATTTACCCTATCTACCTCACAAGGTTTTTATGATCAAAGAAAAGAACAGAAATTTAGTAGCAGTTTCTAGTTTATAATGAAAATGTAAGTTGTTACTATTTTTTTCATGGCCAGCATAATTTAATGAGAAATAGAGATTTCAGAGCAATCACTCAGAGCAGTAGATTTGCTTAGGAAAAACCTCCAGTTGCAGAAAAAAGCAGCAGCAGTGGCTTTTAGATATATGGTGCTGAGTACAAGAAACAATGACTTTGGAATAGCTGGAGAAAGACCAGATGGATGCCTCTGTGATCAAAGGAGTTATTTTTAGAAACATTTTCAGTATCCCAGGACAGTGTCATGTGGGGAGAGATTATGCTCTGCAGTGTAATGCACTGCACTAGTTATTCTGCTTGGAATATCCAGAGGTAAAAAGTGTGGGCTTTGGAACAGACAGATACCAATTTGCCATGCAACCTTGAGCTAATCATTAACCTCTTTGATCCCCAGGTTTCTCATATGACAAACAGGATAATAACACTGATCTCATAATATCTGGAGTATGGTTATATAAGTTGGTATCTACACAGTGCTCAGTGATGCCTGGCACACAGCATCTGCTTACTAAATGATAACTTGCTTGGTTACCTGCAGTAACTAGTAAAACAAGTGGACAATAATAGGAACACCTTATCTCGGAAGCTTTCTTTATGCTTCATATATCCATAAACATTTTGAATAGAGTTCTTTATATGCTTAAAGAAAATTTGGAGATGGCATTAAGATATTTAAAACCAGACAGTGATTTCTGAACCTCTGTAAGTGTCAGCATGCTTGGCTTTATGTTTTAAAATTTATTTCTATTACCAGAATAATTTGGATATAAAATTAATTTGGATACAAACAAGTAGCCATCCATTTAGCTATCAATACGTTAATTTATCAATGTAGTCTTTACCTCTTAAGATTTTATAAGGCCTCTTTTTAGAAATATAGCTATGCTTCATTTTTAAAATCCAAAAAATTTAATGGTTCTTAGAAATTTGGAAAATCAATTTGGTCTTTATATGCCAATTTTTGTTTTTATTTGTACTTGCCAGTGAATTCATAAATTAATACTTCAGTGTTAGCATCTGTAATGATGATTTTTCAAGACAGAGCAAGTGTCTCTGAATCATTGGACCTAGGCTGAGTAACATTCATCTTACATTCATACATAGCTTTAGTACTAAATATATTTTGTTCTATTTGAATTCTTTGAAATCTGTATTCATGGCATAAAGTCTATCTTACAATTAGATATTTTTATAGGTTGAAATTGAGAACTTTGTTTCTGGACCTGGAAACATTATAAAAATGTCAATCCACTTGGGAATTCCAAGTAGACTTTGTACTCTAATAAAAGCTGTAGTTATTGTGCAAATGAATGAAATTTTACGATGATTGTAATCATTTATAAACAGTGGTAATTACCCAACCCTGTGGTTTAGTATAATAGAAAGATCACAGGCCAAGAGTTAGGTGTAGGTTCTAAATGCTAAGCATCTTCATTACCTTGGGCAAATCACTTAACCTTCCTGCCTTCAACTTCTTTTTCTGTGAAATAAGGGAGTTGTATTTGATGATTATTGAGTTGCCATTAAGTTTTAACATTTTATGTTTCTACCCTCATATATAACATGTTGTGTGTGTTTTGAATAAAGAATCAAATCAGGTCACAGTTGGAAAACAGAATAGCTTGTAGCAAATTTATTAACATTTACTGCCCAAATATTATTTTTAAGTTTAGGTAAGACATTCTTCCTTTATAAAAAATAGTCATTGTTTAAAACTATTGAGTAAGGACAGACTCCAGAGAACAAACTCCAAACATGTAACTTATGATTTTGTCTGAGGTTAAAGTACATTGTTTTATATAGGTAGTTATGACTATAGCAAACTATATTGATAATTGAGATGTAAAGAGGTTCGTTTTGAGTAAATGTGATAATGTTCTTTACTTTTATAAATATTACATCGAATGCTTTCTCCCTTCCTGACGTAAATGAATAACTTTAATTATAGACATTATTATCTATATATGCATGTTCTGTTACAGCAAATGACCATCAACTGGATAAAATTCATTAATAATCCCATCAGTATTTGTCCATTTGTTGACACATGTTCTCTAATGGCCTGTTCTTAACTATGCATCACAAAAATACTTAGCACAGCCAAAAAAAAAAAAAAAAAGCTTAAAAAGTTCAATAATGATAAGCATTGGTATCAACAAACGTTGTTGGATGTGTAAACAGCCATCAGTAAAGACAGCTTGTATACAATTCTGAAAAGGCGGTCATTGATGGTTGTTAACCTGTTGGTGGACTTTGGCCATGGCATGTTTACTCAAGCTGCAATAGTATTTATGATACAAACTCCCCTTAAATGTAGCAGCATCAATTTCAACCGATTAGATTGCTTCCATAAATATGCACAAGAAAGTAACAATTTAAGGAGACAACTGACATGATGCAGGAGCCAGAGATCAGTCACAATAAGAAATATATTCAGGCTTAAGCAATGGGACGTCAAGAGATGCCTGATCTCTGTCAAGCAACAAGGCTGACATGATTGTTGAGGTAAAGAAGACATGCTGTGACCTTTACTATGATACCAGGCTTTGGTAGAGAAAGAAAACATGGCTTTTTGTGAAAACAGAGAAAAAGAGGGAACTTTAATTATAGTTACTGTGGTGAATAGCTAAATATGGAAGTATCCTTAAGGTAAGCCTAAATTCAAAGAAGAACTTGTTGTTACTTACATGGCCTTTTTAATGATACTTCCAAGTGCTGTCAGGCCCTAGGATGTTAGTAAAATGGTTCCACTATAGAAAGAATGTGGATGCAGGATGTTGGAGGCAACCAGTCAGGGACCAGTGTCAAACCAGGTGTGTCTGAAACACCGACAACAACAAGAGCCACCAAACCGAAATCATCTTAAACAATAAGAAAATTTACCTGGACTCCAGAGGTAAGGTAGACCACTATGTTAATTTATTTTATTTATTTTTATTTTTTTATTTTTTAAGATGGAGCCTTGCTCTGTCACCCAGGCGGGAGTGCAGTGGCATGATCTCGGCTCACTGCAAACTCCACCTCCAGGGTTCAGGCCATTCTCCTGCCTCAGCCTCCCGAGTAGCTGGGACTACAGGTGCCCGTCACCATGCCCGGATAATTTTTTGTATTTTTAGTAGAGACGGGGTTTCACCGTGTTAGCCGGGATGGTCTTGATCTCCTGATCTTGTGATCAGCCCGCCTCAGCCTCCCAAAGTGCTGGGATTACAGGCATGAGCCACCATGCCCGGCCCACTATGTTAATTTAATCCATTTACTCCAATTTTTTTTCTTGCCATTTTCCTTTTTTTTTTTTTTTGAGCCAGAGTCTCGCTTTGTAGCCAGGCTGGAGTGCAGTGGCGCGATCTCAGCTCACTGCAACCTCCACCTCCTGGGTTCAAGTGATTCTCCTGCCTCAGCCTCCCAAGTAGCTGGGATTACAGGTGTGCACCACCACACCCAGCTAATTTTTGTATTTTCAGTAGAGACGGGGTTTCACCATGTTGGCCTCAATCTCCTGACCTCGTGATCCACCCGCCTTGGCCTCCCAAAGTGTTGGGATTACAGGTGTGAGCCACCACACGCAGCCGCCATTTTCTTAGTTCTTCTCTTCTTCCTGTATGTTGTTTACATGGGTGATATTGAAGGGTTGCCCTAGAATGAGACCTCATATCTACTAATAAGATAATTGAGGGAGTTAAAATATTGCTTTTGGGGATTTCTTCTGAAAAGATCAAAGAATAACTTCCAGAAGCCATGGAAAAACCCCTTCTGTGTCTAATTGACTCATTTGACTTCATGTGACTGGTCTGGAGCTCATTATAGCAAGGGAGATGGGATGGCCTTTAAATGAATCAAGCCCATCTCTGAGGGTAGATGTATGAATAGCTTTGACTCTGTGTGTAGGAGGAGTGAATACCTGAAGAAAATCAAAGTTCTTTTAGGAGGACAGAAGAGAGAAAGGAATGGATGCCTATGACACTTTTCTGGAATCTATCCTTACCAGTTTTTTGAGGTTGGGCAAGACAGTCAGACACTTTGAGCTTTATTTTCCTTGTCCATATAATGGGGGCTACTCAGGTACTTGATATTAATTTTCTCTTTCCTTAGTAACAATACTTCCTTTTTGTTCTGGTTGGAAAAGTGCCAGCTAAAGTCTACACTTCTTAGTCTACTTGGCCTCTAGGGCTTTTGGGAAATCTGCTTAAAAGATGAACTGACAGCTGTGTAACTTTTTGGTCTTTACCTGTTTTATCTTGAATTTGGATATGATCATTAGAGCCCAGTCAGCCATTTTGGGTGGGAAGGTGATTTGGGAATGGAGACCATGAGCCAAGGTTGGTGGAGCAGAAAGATAGAAGGGCTCTGGGTCCTTCATGAGTCTAGGGTTGCCAGTTCAGCCCTGGACTTCTTACCTGGAGCCTTCCTTTATGCATGAGAAAAATTAACTTATAAATTCCTTAAGCCACTCTTAAGTATGTTTTACTAGCAGCAGAATACTCAAATGGTCCTCTCCAATCATCAGTGTTTATTTGTTAGTAAAGTTGACATTATCATGGCGAGTCATGGCCACTTAGATGGATGACCTGTCAAAGCTTTCCATATGGCCATACAGTAAATTGTTCTCTTTCAATGCAGATATTTGATGAAATAAAATAAAAATTTGATCCAATTAAATTATGCTTTTTATTCATTCCACAGATGAGTAGTTGAAAAGTAAGAGCATGCATGAGAAACTGACTTTCCAAAAAATGAGTGGAATTTCTTTTCCATACTGCTTCACTCTGCAACAGTATGCATCACAGCTTATGAATCAGATACTTCAGCATCAACTTTTTTCATGGAAAAGTGCATCATTTTGGAACAGAGAACTTCTGTGTTGTTGTAAAACCAAGTGAACAGTTCTTAAAATATCTTACGTCATATTAAATTTGAACTGCTGTTAAATTATGTCTGGAGCCACTCAGTGATGGCAGAAATGACTAAGTGCTTTGATTAGAAATTGTCTATGTTTATGCTAGGGGTTATTTGTGAATTTTATTCTGGAAAATTACACTAAGAGAGATTAGTATTCACTTTATCTTAAACTATCTTGATATGTAGCATCCACAAAGGGTGCATGAGTTGCTCTCTCCTTCATGCCTTCATGTTAAAAGGTAATGACCTCCACTTATGGTTGCTCTTGCTTTCATCTTACCCACTTTAAATCTTTACTCTGTACTCTGACTTCAATACCTGCTTGTGGCCCCTTTGGCTTTGGATGATCTCCTGGCATTTTTCACTGAGCACTCTTGCATGCTTTTGTTTCTTTCTCCGATTTTTCTTTTGACTTTGGGAGTTGACATTACTTTGAGTGAGATCATCTCCCTTAACTCCTGGCCCATAGAGCTTCCTTTCCCATCCCTCCAGCCACAGTTAGCTCCTAGATAATATTTTTGGATGCATAAAAATAGTTTTATTCTTCTTCTTTTGATTTAAGATGGTAACCTGAGTGAATGGGATGGGAGAGGCTTGGAGTTGGTGAGCAAGCCAAGGGAGGAATGAGGAAGTGATAGTAGAATTTAGCCCTTGATTTTAGTTTTGAAGCTTAATACATCCCTTAGGTTTTTATTTAGACTTATCATCAGCCTCTACCTGTCACTTATTTAAGCAACCGTTTATACAGCCTTTATGTGCCCAGTGCGATGCAAGTTGCTAGGAATAACCAAGTAGAAGTTGCAATCTCTGCCTTCCAGGAGCTTATTATCTAATGGGGGATGCAGAGAAGTTATAAAAAAAATTACAATTCATTGTGGTAGGTGCTACTGGAACACTCTAAGAGAATCGGGGATTGCTTAAAACATCCATTAGTGTTTATGGCTTTCATTTCATGAGCTGGCCTGAAAATAGTGCAGGGGTTGATCAATTTGGCAGGAATAATCAGACAATATTTATAAGACCCTTTTTACCAGCTGAAGACATTTTCCTTAAACGTGGTACAGTTCTTAGAATGGTATGTTTTCCCACTCATGCAACCGAGAAATGGAGGGTTTCTCTCCTTGGTGCTGAAACAGATATTTTCGGGTAGGAAGAGTGGATTTTGTAAACAGCACTGGTTTCTAAAATTGGTGATGAGGGGCAGAGAAGAAATCATTTATCTAGAGGACAGATTGGACAGAGGGTGAGCAGGCTCCATTTTGACAAATGGGGATGGCAATGCTGATGAGCAGTCAGCACAGAGACAGAGCACTAGTCCTTCTTAGTCTAATTCATCTTATAATTAATTGGCTCCAAAGAAGGCTCCCCACACAAGTGTGGGGGCAGCACAGTGAGTAGAGGTGCTCTCCATCCCCATGTCCTGATGCAGCAGATGCCATGGCTATGTGTAGGCAGTAAGGGGTGGGTGTCTGAAAACATGCAGTATAGCAGCTGCTCGTGGCCCCACTTTCTTAGTGGCTGCTGGCGGGGTTGTGGCCAAGACCATCTTCATAAATGCATCAATTCTGGGGACAGACTGAAAAAAATATTGCTTAAACATGGGCTTCTTTGCATCCCATAGCCATATGATGTCAACACTTTTCTGTTGACAAAGAACTTGTATCTCTTTCTTTTTCTAAGACAAGTGTGGAGTTAGCATAGTGTAGCAGAAAGCTAGACAGACCTGGAAGCTCAGTTTATTTATTTGCTAGCTGTATGGTTTGGGGGGAAATTAATTAATTCTCTGAGCATTGGTTTGCTAATTGATAAAATGCATAAGAAACTTAACTTTGAAATTGTAGTGAGGATTTACTGGCAGAACACATGTGAAGTGCCAGCACAGTTTCTGACAAACAGTAGGTGCCCCATAAATGGTAGTTATTAAATTTAAATATTACTATTTCCAGAAAGGGTTTTTTCCTCTTGAAGATGGGTATGTGGGCAGAGAATCAGAAAGCATTATATTTTGATAGAAGCCAGTACAGTCTCATTGCAGGTGAGGCCAGTGCACCTTTGTTTTCTCTTACGCTTGATGGGAGAGAAGCTGACTGACAAACAAACCATGAGGGCTCAGGCTGTAAGGTAATGAGTTCTAAAGGGCTTTGAAGCTAGGTTTCTTATACATGGTAGTCTATAAATGGATTATTCTCTTTTCAGATTTCCTTTTCTTCTTTTGCACTCTGAGACACAGAATTAATTTCATCATATCTACTCCTAAATTCATGCCTCACTATCATTGGTTCATAGAAAATATTTCCTTTGTTTATGTTTTATTTCATTACTTTCTCTCTTCTTCATCTCATATCACCAGGCTCCCATCAGTCACTCAAGGGCACCCAGTTTTGCTTGTCTTATGAATGCCTATTTCACTATTCTTATGTTTATTTACACATATGTGTAAGTGAAAGTACATGATATTTTTGCGTGTGCATTTTAAATGTACAGAAATGGTATTTGGTCAGAAATCTTGCTTTGTTACTTATTTTGAAGGTAAGAATTATTTGAGTTTCATTTTCATTGCAGTATGTAGATTTGGTTTATTTCTCAGATACCTGCATAAATTTCCATTTTATGTGTATACTGAATTTTATTTATGAATTCCCCTGGTGGTTACTTCTTACTCTTTACTCTTTCAAATCATGCTCAATTAATAATCATTTACATGTTTCCTTGTGCATTTATATGAGAGTTTCTGTGGATCTATATCCAGGAAGGAAATGATAGAGTTCTAGAGTACAAGCTCTGTAGGCCTGATTACTTTCCAAAAAGGCTGTACTAGTTTGCATTTCTACTAGCAGTGCAAGGATATTTTTGTCTTTGCACATCCTCATCAGCACTTGACATTGTTTGGTTTTCTATTTTTTGCCAGCTGGATGTGTGTAAAGTGGTATCTATTGTTTTATTTGAGTTTCTCTGGGACTGGTGGTGTTATACATGTCTTTATGTAGTTATTAACTAACTGTATTTTCTTTACTCTAAAATTGCTTTATTATTATTTTACTGCTTTCCTATGTCCTTGCCTTTTTTGTATTACAGAATTCTTTGTACATTTTAGATATTAACCTATTGTCAGTCTTGGAAATGATAAAATATCTTCTAGAAAGTCACTGGTCTGTTAATTTTGTCTTTAGTGTCTCTTTCTTTCTTGCTAGCTTTCTTGCTTTCTTTCTCTTTTTTCTTTCCTTTCTTCCTTTCTCTCTCTCTCTGTCTCTTCCTTCCTTCTTCTTCTTTTTTTTTTTTTTTGAGACAGGGTCTCACTCTGTTGCTTAGGAGGTAGTGCAGTGGCTCACTGCAGCCTTGACCTCCCCAGGCTTAGACGACTGTCCTACCTCAGCCTCCTGAGTAACTGGGACTACAGGCGCATGCCACCACGCCTGGCTAATTTTTGTTATTTTTTGCAGAGATGGGTTTTTGCCATGTTGCCTAGGCTGGTCTTGAACTCCTGGTCTCAAGTGATCTACCTACCTATAGCCTCTCAAAGCTAGGATTACAGGTGTGAGCCATCATGTCTGGCCTAGGGTCTTTCTGATGAACAGAAATATTTTGTCTGTCATAGTTGAATTTAGCAAAACTTTCAGGTTGGGTTAGTATTGAAATATAGACATATAATTTTGCACAAATTCTAAGTCTACAGCTTGATTATTTATCACAAAATGAACATGCCTATGTTCTTCTCCACTGACAAGAAATAGGACATTACAAATATATGTCTCTCTTTTGCTCTCTTTCCTTTACTAACTCCCCTTTCTTCTCTAAAGTTAACAACTATGTAAGTTATCCATTTCTGCATAACAAATAACCTTAAATGTAGTGACTTAAAATAATAAACATTTATTATCTCACAGTTTCTGAGTGTCAGGGATCTAGGAACAGCTTAGCTAGTTGGTTCGAGCTGAGGTCTCTCATGAGATTGCAGTGAAGTTGTTGGCCAGGGCTGCAGTCATCCCAAGGCTTTGTTAAAACTGGAAAATCTGCTTCTAAGAAGTCTTACTCATAGGGCTGTCGGCTGGAGTCCTCAGCTCCTCACTCACTGTTGTAGAAGACCTCAGTCCCTCACCACATGGGCCTTTCCCTAGGGCTCCTCACAATGTGGTAGCTAACTTCCCCAGGGTGAGGTAGGAGAGGGATAAATAGATAGGTAGATAGGTAGATGGATGGATAGAGAGATAGATAGGCGCTGTAGTGCCTTTTCATGACCTGGGCTCTGAAATTGCACTTTCACTTCATTCTATTTATTAGAAGCTATTCTTTAAGTATAGTCTACACTCAAGAGGAGGAGAATTAGATGCTACTTCATAAAGAAAGAAATA
Organism: Homo sapiens; assembly: GCF_000001405.40. Classification (NCBI taxonomy): domain Eukaryota; kingdom Metazoa; phylum Chordata; class Mammalia; order Primates; family Hominidae; genus Homo; species Homo sapiens. Next base: position 170,607,199 of record NC_000003.12, read on the forward strand.
CAAAAAAATTTGTGAATATATTTTAAAAACCATCACTGCAACTATTTTTACTTTTAACATCTTTTAGTTTTGCTTTGTGAACTTTATGTAAATAGAATTATATAGTTTATTCTTTTAATTTTTTTTTTTTGAGACAGAGTCTCGTTCTGTCGCCCAGGCTGGAGTGCAGTGGCACGATCTGGGCTGACTGCAAGCTCTGCCTCCCGAGTTCATGCCATTCTCCTGCCTCAGCCTCCTGAGTAGCTGGGACTACAGGTGCCCACCACGACACCCAGCTAATTTTTTTGTATTTTTAGTAGAGATGGAGTTTCACCGTGTTAGCCAAGATGGTCTCGATCTCCTGACTTCGTGATCTGTCCACCTTGGCCTCCCAAAGTGCTGTGATTACAGGCGTGAGCCACCATACCCGGCCTCTTTTAATTTTTTAAATATGGTAAGAAGTGAAAAGTCCACTTAATTTTCTCAATATACTGACTTCTCATCCCAATACCATTTTCTAAATAGTACATTCTTTCACTATTGATTTGGTTGGTCACTTTGATTATATGCCAAATGAGAAATGATAGTCACTCATATCAGTGTGGGAGTGACGCATTTGGTAAGAAATGGCCAGATTCTGGGTATTTTTTTGGAAGGCCCTTTTAAAATGTAATTTTCAATACAACTCTATGACTTAGGTACAGAAAAGAATGCACATACTCTGGACATCCCATGAGAGTGACAAAGGTTCCTAATTCTTTTGCTTGGCCTACGAGTACATCATTTTAATCATAGATAGTCTTTTTTAAGGAAGGGCAGCAATCTGTTATAAGTTTTCTTGACACTAGGCCAGACATGGTGGCTCACACCTGTAATCCTAGTTTTGAGAGGCCTAGGAGGTAGATCACTTGAGACCAGGAGCTCAAGACCAGCCTGGGCAACATGGAAAAAACCCATCTCTGCAAAAAATACAAAAATTAGCCAGGCGTGCTGGCATGCGCTTGTAGTTCCAGCTACTCCAGAGGCTAAGGTGGGACAGTCATCTAAGCCTGGGAAGGATCAAGGCAATGATGGGTAACTTCTTGACATTATCATATAAAGCTGCTCACACATTGGCAAACAAGGGTAAGGGAAATGTATATCTATGCAAGTAAGCTATTCCAAAAGCAAGTTAAGTTCTCTCTTCTTTTCCTAAAAACTTAAAAAAATCATAAATAGGTGTTGAATTATTAAATAACTTTTCAATGTCTGCTGAGATAATTACTTACATGTAGTGCTATAATGTGGTGTAAACACATTATGATATTACAGATTTTTAAATGTTCACTGCATTTCTGTGTTAAATCCTACTTGAGCATTATAACATTCTATTTAATATGCTAGTTAGTTAGCTAAAGTAGTAGGTGCTTTTGTGTCCTTCTCATGCTGACTTGGTATGGACCATTTCTGTGCATGACAAGCTGACTAGCAGCATCTGTGATTCTTGGCCTCAGAGTTTTCTGTGGTCACTAGGCCTCCCCTGCCTGAGTGCATGTCAGACTGTAAGCACCAGACCAATAACACTTCTTCTATCTCAGGAATAGCCATCAACGAATGACTGATATATTGGGAGAATAAAGGACCCAGTTTCCATGTCCTTCAGGAGGAATAACACTGAGGCATGTGTTCTACACTGGCTTTCAGTTTAACTCAATAGATTAAACTCAAGTTACTCACAGTGGTAACTTGTTTGAAAGTGCATTTGCTTCCTTCCTCTTACTCTTTCACCTCTTCACTCACTCACTGCTGTTTCTTTGCATCACCTTCCAAATAAAAGCATTGCCCATGAATCCTTATAATAGGATCTGCTTTGAGGGATCTCAAAGTAAGACAGTTAGCATTTTTTTTTTGGCTTTTGTATTTTTGTTCAAAAGTGAAATTGGCCTGTAAATTTTCAAGTCTTATGGTGCCCTTTCCCAGTTTAATTACCAAGATTATACAATCTGAATAAAGCCAGTTGGACAGCTTTTCCTTTTTACTTCTTAAACAACTTATATCAGAGAGTAATTATCTCACTCAAAGTTTGATAGAACTCATAATATGAAATCATCTGGGTGTGATTCTTTTTTTGGAGGAAAGAGGGAGCTTTGATTGCAATTATAACTTCTTGGATGGTAAATGGCTTATACAAGTTTTTTATTTCTCCTTGTGTTGATTTTGTCATTTTAAAATATATTGTAAGAAAATTATTCATTTAAACTATGATTTAAAATTTTGTAGTTTATAGCTGTTCGTGATAGTCATATAAGTGGTGTGGTAGAGCTGGTTAATATTGGTTCGTGAGGGCTGGTGATTGTTAAAGTTTTAAGAAATTCATGAGTAGTTGATTCCACACTGGTAACTTAACATTGGCCATAGTTGAATTATTTACATCATGGAAATTTGCAAGCTCTATATATCAGGATTGTTTTTTTTTCTGATAAACTGGATGTTATAAAGTTACCAGCAAACCACTGACTATTCTTATACCTCACTAATCCCTCCTACATCTCCTTTGTTGATTTCTCCTCTTTTTCCTAACCTCTTAACATTTCAGTGTCCCATTGCACTGTTCTTGATTCTTTTTTCTGTCTACACTGACTCTCCACCCTTAACCCTGGTAATCTAATCTTTTCTCAGGGCTTTAAAAACCATGCATATGCCTATGAGTTCCCAATTTTTATCTCCAGCCTGAACCTTTCTCCTGAGTGCTACTCACATATCCAGCTGCTAACTCAAAATCCTTTCCTGAGTGTCTCAAATTTAACATGATCAAAACTGACCTCTTGATATACTCTGTAAAGCCTGCTGCTTTGCAGTCTTTCCTACCCACATTGATGACCACTTCATATTCCAGTTGCACAGACTAAAAAGTCGTATACATCATGATATCTGTCTTTCTCTCATACCCCATATCCAATCCATTAGAAAACTGCACTGGCTTGGCCGGGTGCAGTGGCTCACTCCTGTAATCCCAGCATTTTGGGAGGCCGAGGCGGGTGGATCACGAGGTCAGGAGATCAAGGCCATCCTGGCTAACACGGTGAAACCCCGTCTCTACTAAAAATACAAAAACAAAATTTTCCAGGTGTGGTGGTGGGCGTCTGTAGTCCCAGCTACTCAGGAGGCTGAGGCGGGAGAATGGCGTGAACCTGGGAGGCAGAGCTTGCAGTGAGCTGAGATCGCACCACTGCACTCCAGCCTGGGCTACAGAGCGAGACTCCGTCTCAAAAAAAAAATAAAATAAATAAATAAATAAATAATAAAAAAGAAAAAAGAAAAGAAAACTGCACCAGCTCTACATTAAAAAAATGCATATCTGGCAATTTCTCACTATTCCAGCCCAAGTTTCCATAATCTCTTAGCTGAATCATTTCTGTAGCCACCCACTGAGTTTCTACACATTCACCCTTGCCTTCCCTAGAGTTTCTCTTCCAGTTTTTCAAGTACTGAGAATGATTTTTTTTATTCTCAGACAGAGTCTCACTCTGTCATCTAGGCTGGAGTGCAGTGTTGCGATCACGGCTCACTGCAGCTTTGACATCCTGGGATCAGGTGATCCTCCCACCTCAGCCTCTTGAGTAGCTGGGACTATGGGCAAGCGCCACTATGCCTGGCCAGTTTATTTTTTATTTTTTTATTTTTTGTATTATTTTGTAGAGATGGGATTTTGTCATGTTACCCAGAATGATCTCCAACTCCTGGCCTCAAGTGATCCACATGCCTTGGCCTCCCAAAGTGCTGGGATTACAGATGTGAGCCACCACACCCAGCCAGGTCCTTTTAATTTTTAATTTATTTTTAAATTTTAATTTTTTAACTTTATTTTTTTTTTCTTTTGAGACAGAGTCTTGCTCTGTTGCCCAGGGTGGAGTGTAGTGGCATGATCTTGGCTCACTGCAAACTCCGCCTCCCAGGTTCAAGTGATTCTCCTGCCTCAGCCTTCCGAGTAGTTGGGATTATGGGTGTGCACCACAAACCTGGCTAACTTTTGTATTTTTAGTAGAGATGGGGTTTCACCATGTTGTCCAGGCTAGTCTTGAACTCCTGACCTCAGGTGATCTGCCCACCTTGGCCTCCCAAAATGCTGGGATTACAGGCATAAGCCACCAGACCTGACCCCAGATCCTTTCTGGGGATGTAATTCAGATCATGTTACTCCTTTGCACAGAACCCTCTGATGGCTCTCAGTTTCACTCAGAGCACAAGCCAGAGTCCTCAAGATCACCCCAACTTACCTCTCTGACCACATCTCCTGCTGCATATCCCTCCACTCAAAATCTGCTCCAGTCACCCTGGCGTCCTCATTGTTCCTCAAAAAATCCAGGCAAGCTCCTGCCTCAGAGCCTCTGTCTGGAATGCTCGTCCCCAAGATAACTGCACAGCCTGCTCACTCACTTCATTAAAAACATATATGACATTTTCATTGTTGATTCTTTCTCTCCCCCGCCACAATGTGAGCTCTACTAGGGTAGGAATTTTCTGTTTGTTCACTGATGTATCCCAACAGTGAAGCAGAGAATGCCTGACATGCTGTGATGTTCAGTATCTGCCAAATAGATCATAAATCAGTGAATATGAGGCCTTGCCTTCTTGTTAAGATTCAGGGCTATAACCACTGTCTCCAGGATAGCCTAAGGTAATGCAACGCATTAGTCCATGCTGTTGTGGTGCACCTTCTGAAACCTATGCCAGTGCTGTCTTTTCCCCTAATGGGAGGAAGAAGACCTAGTTTTCTTAGGAAGTCACAGTTGGAACCACTCCATTTCCTCTTCACCATCTGTGAGCGTGAAATCCTGCTTGGAATGAGAAGAAACTTTATTCTTCTGTTGGCTGGGAGCCCCATCTTCTTTTGGGGCCCTTTTGAGACAAGGGAGATTGGAAGGCAAAATTAAAGCTTGGTTGGGTTTTACCTGTGGTTACCAGACCATCTTCCCTAAATTAATGCCCACACTTTAAAGAAAAAACAGCCTGCATTTAACCCCACTCCTGAAATTAGAAAGTTAGCTCTTAATCAGGAAAATACATGCAGGTAATGGCTCAGGAATAGGTTTAACAATGAATGTATTGAGAAGATAAAACTCAGTGGAGTATAACAGTTTTATTTTCCCAATTACCACTATAAGCTATGCTCCGATAAGTCCCCTATTTCCTGTTTCTTAACACCATATTCAGCTGATTTCATAACTTTCTTGTCACCTTTGTTTAATTATGAGTCCAGTTCAATTTCTAAGTCTATTTAAAACTTTCAATTTCTAAGTCTATTTAAAACTCATCCCCCGACCCTGTCCTTGCAGCACAGACCTGAGCAGTGACCTTTAAATGTTGGAAGCAGAGGAGGATGAAGATGCACACACCCCTATCTCTCCTCCTCTTTTAGGTACTCATCCTCTGGGGTGCTAGGAGTCAAGAAGGAGAGATGGTGCAGGCAGGGGTCATCTTACATAACTGGCCACATATGTGTGGTAGGGAGATATCTCTGACCAAGCTCTGTTCTGATCTGGTTCTGTTAGATGCTGGTGGCCCAAACAGATGGGGTAGTTGATGGGGTAGTTTTGCATAGGTAGTCTTCAAGGTTTCCTTGAGGGTGGTGTCAAATTCTGTCTGTTTCCCGGCCCACGACCACCCTTGGTACTGAGATCCCCTCAGAGAGAGACAATTGGATCTCTTTTTCAGCCTGGCTAGCAGTCCAGGTTCCTACCCTCCTCTCCCAATAGGGTATTACCTCACTTGGCTCATAGCTGCCCTGACAACCTTACATCTCCTCTCTCCTGCTACAGCTTCTATGTTCCTTTTCATGATGCTATAAAAATCATTGAGGTATGTTCCATACCTTCTGAGAGTCATGGTGGACTGGGATGAGGCTGTCCCAGTCTCATCATTTTCTTACATGATATGGTATATTATTGATATTTCTCACTCTGCTAACTCTTTTTTAGAAATATCCAGACAAAAAGCAAGCACTAGTCTCTGGGTTCAGAAGCATCTCTTCTGCCCCATCAGTGGACATATGTTTAGGTATCCTAACAATTCTGTTACCACTCTCTGCGATTCCAGAACAAGATTGAGATTGTGTGGCTCTGTAAGCATCCATCCAGAGGTGGAGTGATAGCCTCCACTTCTTGCAGGGACCTTCAATCTCTACAAGTGATGCCCGTGAAGCCTTCTCTCCTTCACTTGATATTACTAGGTAATGTGGCAGTTGTAGGTAGATATCCACTAGGATTTGTGCTTCCCTCTCTTCCCCATGTCTCTCAGAAAGAGCTTTCCAATCAGGGCCTACAATTCCCAGCCCCTTTGCCTCCAGGTGTGCCCACATGACTGGTTCTCACCAATGGGTTGTGAGCAGAAGTGATGTGGTGCATATCCAGGTCAAAGCATTTAGGAGGCAGATGTGCTCACTTCAGGCGCTCTTGCCACTTCCAACGGCTGGTTGCAGATCATGAGGACCCAGGAAATGATGGCAAAACAATATGATGGAAAAACTCAGAATCCCTGAATCACGTACAGAGGAAAGCCCTTGGTGGAACTACAACACCTGCTTTGAACTGTTATGTGAGAAAGAAACTATTGTGTTTGAGCCATAATGGAATTTTGGATTCACCGATTACAGCAGCTAATGTTACACCAAATATTACATGTGAGAAGAAAGTGCCTGTCCTCCCTGCTGGTAAACAGAGGAAAAGCCTCTCACCATGAACACAGAACTCCCTGCAATGGGACACATCACATGTGCTTTCCCAACTTCCAGCCTTCTTGTGTAAACTGGGCTGGTGTGATGCTTGGGAGTAGTAGGGATGTTTTGTTAGCTCTTAGTATGTTCTTGGGCAGTGCATGGTGCAACCATAGATGGCACTGTTAGAAAGTAAAGATAACTGGCCACCAATTCTAGGACAATAGAAAGCATTTCAGGAATTTTTGAAAACACGAAAACATGTTTAGAGATCCTTAGTATCATCACCACAAAGCCTTGAGGGAGTCAGAACCCCACAGATATGGACCCCTGCTTCTGTTGTTTAGAGTTGCCTCTGTTCCCTGCCACTGGCATGATAGTGTTGACACTTTATGAGGGGCAGCTGTGATGACTCCAGTGACTGAAGAAATGTCTTATGCTTTGATGCCTGGAGGAACTATTTATGGGATATCATCCAGGCCTGGCTTTGGTACCAGTGATTTAACAACTCTACAAAATGCCTCTCTCCTTTCTGCTACTGAACTAGAGTGTGGTTGGTGCCAGGACCAACAGAATGTGATTCACTGAGCCCAAGACATCAGTAGGGACATAGGAGGTACCGTCAGTTGTCAACAGGTGGTGGTCCAGATGGGTGGACCGTGGGTATCAGGGAGGTTCTGTGGGAGGCAAAGGGTGAGTGTTCCAGCAGGTGGGAGGACTGTGACATTGTTTAATTTATATAAGAAGCTTGTAAAATAAGAAATTGCAGGCTGAGGGTCAGCAGGACGTCTCTGAACTCTAGGAGGTGGGGATAAGTGGGAAAGCAAGGCAGGCTTTAGAAGAAACTGGCACAGGTTCAGGAACAAAGATGAGGACTCAGCCATTGGAACCTATAAGAAGCACAGGAAAAGACTGCATGAAACTATTTTTGAAGTTGTGTTGGGACTGAGTCACCAAGTGACTGTGCTGGGGTTACGTAATCCTTTCTAGTGTGAGAGAGAAATAGTGCCAGGCCCTGTCCCAGGGCTGAATCCACGCATCAAGGTTAAATGGTCCAAATTGAAAAGCTTAGAGGGCCACAGGTGCAGGGAGGCAAGCAGTCAAGTAGATTAACCCCTTACCGTGTCTGACATTCCCACTATCAGAGTTAAGCATTTAGGTTAAAACAGCATGCAAGGCCATTATTAAAATGCAAGTATTTCCCAAGAGAAGTAATTAACCTTGCCACATCTGCATATTATTAGAGTATCATTATAGCTAGTTCTGAAGGATTGAGAATTTCTTTGACCGATAAGTCCAGTATATAATGTGTCGGTGAGAATTAACTTATTTAGCTCTTACTATGTAATACTCTATTTTTTTATTTTTTATTTTAATAAAAAAGACATGTTTATTATCAGAATGTAGTTACTGTCATGCCTCCCTAACCTTACTTTTTTTTGTTTGATTTTGTTTTTGTTATACTTTAAGTTCTGGGATGTATGTGCAAAACGTGCAGGTTTGTTACATAGCTATACATGTGCCATGGTGGTTTGCTGCACCCATCAATCCGTCTTCTACGTTAGGTACTTCTCCTAATGCTATCCCTCCCCTTGCCCCCAACCCCCTGACAGACCCTGGTGTGTGATGTTCCCCTCCCTGTGTCCATGTGTTCTCATTATTCAATTCCCACTTACGAGTGAGAACATGCGGTGTTTGATTTTCTGTTCCTATGTTAGTTTGCTGACAATAATGGTTTCCAGCTTCATCCATGTTCCTGCAAAGGACATGAACTCATTTTTTATGGCTGCATAGTATTCCATGGTGAATATGTGCCACATTTTCTTTATCCAGTCTATCATTGATGGGCATTTGGGTTGGTTCCAAGTCTTTGCTATTGTGAATAGTGCTGCAATAAACATATGTGTGCATGTGTCTTTATACTACAGTTATTTATAATCCTTTGGTTATATACCCAGTAATGGGATTGCTGGGTCGAATGGCATTTCTGGTTCTAGATCCTTGAGGAATTGTCACACTGTCTTCCACAATGGGTGAACGAATTTACACTCCCACCAACAGTGTAAAAGCGTTCCTATTTCTTCACTTCCTCTCCAGCATCTATTGTTTCCTGACTTTTTAATGATCACCATTCTAACTGGTGTGACATGGTATCTCATTGTGGTTTTGATTTGCATTTCTCTAATGACCAGTGATGATGAACTTTTTTTCATATGTTTGTTGGCTGTATAAATGTCTTCTTTTGAGAAGTGTCTGTTCATATCCTTTTCCCACTTTTTGATGGGGTTGTTTTTTTCTTGTAAATTTGTTTAAGTTCCTTGTAGATTCTAGATATTAACCCTTTATCAGATGGATAGATTGCAAAATTTTTTCTCATTCTGTAGGTTGCCTATTCACACTGATGGCAGTTTCTTTTGCTATGCAGAAGCTCTTTAGTTTAATTAGATCCCATTTGTCAATTTTGGCTTTTGTTGCAATTGCTTTTGGAGTTTCAGTCATGAAGTCTTTGCGCATGGCATGCCTATGTCCTGAATGGCATTACCCAGGTTTTCTTCTAGGGTTTTTATGGTTTTATGTCTTACGTTTAAGTCTTTAATCCATCTTGAGTTAATTTTTGTGTAAGGTGTAAGAAAGGTGGCCGGGCGTGGTGGCTCACGCCTGTAATCCCAGCACTTTGGGAGGCCGAGGCGGGTGGATCACGAGGCCAGGAGATCGAGACCATCCTGACTAACACAGTGAATCCCCGTCTCTACTAAAAATACAAAAAAAAAAAAAAAAAATTAGCCAGGTGTGGTGGCAGGCACCTGTAGTCCCAGCTACTCAAGAGGCTGAGGCAGAAGAATGGCATGAACCCAGGAGGCGGAGCTTGCAGTGAGCCGAGATCGCGCCACTGCACTCCAGCCTGGGCAATAGAGCAAGACTTCGTCTCAAAAAAAAAAAAAAAAAAAAAGAAAGGGGTCCAGTTTCAGTTTTCTACATATGACTAGCAAGTTTTCCCAACACTGTTTATTAAATAGGGAATCCTTACCCATTGCTTGTTTTTGTCAGATTTGTCAAAGTTCTGATGGTTGCAGATGTGTGGTGTTATTTCTGAGGCCTCTGTTCTGTTCCATTGGTCTATATATCTGTCTTGGTACCAGTACCATGCTGTTTTGGTTACTGTAGCCTTGTAGTATAGTTAGAGGCCAGGTAACACGATGCCTCCAGCTTTGTTCTTTTTGCTTAGGATTGTCTTGGCTATACGGGCTCTTTTTTGGTTCCATATGAAATTTAAAGTAGTTTTTTCTAATTCTGTGAAGAAAGTCAATGGTAGCTTGATGGGATTCCCAATGATGGGAATAGCATTGAATCTATAAATTACTTTGGGCAGTATGACCATTTTCATGATATTGATTCTTCAAATGGAATGTTTTTCCATTTGTGTCTTCTCTTATTTCCTTGAACAATGGTTTGTAGTTCTCCTCGAAGAGGTCCTTCACCACCCTTGTAAGTTGTATTCCTAGGTATTTTATTCTCTTTGCAGCAATTGTGAATGGGAGTTCATTCATGATTTCGCTCTCTGTTTGTCTGTTATTGGTGTATAGAAATTCTTGTAATTTTTGCACGTTGATTTTGTATCCTGAGAATTTGCTGAAGTTGCTTATCAGCCTAAAGAGTTTTTGGGCTGAGACAGTGGGGTTTTCTAAATATACAATCATGTTATCTGCAAATAGAGACAATTTGACTTCCTCTCTTTTTATTTGAATACCCTTTATTTCTTTCTCTTGCCTGATTGTCTTGGCCAGAACTTCCAACACTATGTTGAATAGGAGTGGTGAGAGAGGGCATCCTTGTCTTGTGCCAGTTTTCAAAGGGAATGCTTCCAGCTTTTGCCCATTCAGTATGATATTGGCTATGGGTTTGTCATAAATAGCTCTTATTATTTTGAGATACATTCCATCAATACCTACTTTATTGAGTGTTTTTAGCATGAAGGGGTGTTGAATTTTATCAAAGGCTTTTCTGCATCTATTGAGATAATCGTGTGGCTTTTGTCTTTGGTTCTGTTTATGTGATGGATTACGTTTACTGATTTGCATATGTTGAAAATGGAGCCCCTTGGATCCCGGGGTGAAGCCGACTTGATCATGGTGGATAAGCTTTTTAATGTGCTGCTGGATTCGGTTTGCCAGTATTTTATTGAGGATTTTTGCATCGATGTTAATCAGAGATATTGGCCTGAAATTTTCTTTTTTTGTTTTGTCTCTGCCAGGTTTTGGTATCAGGATGATGCTGGCCTCATAAAATGAGTTAGGGAGGAGTCCCCCTTTTTCTATTGTTTGGAATAGTTTCAGAAGGAATGATACCAGCTCCTCTTTCTACCTCTGGTAGAATTTGGCTGTAAATCTGTCTAGTCCTGAGTTTTTTTGTTTTTTTTTGCTTGGTAGGCTATTAATTACTGCCTCAATTTCAGAACTTGTTATTGGTCTCTTCAGGGATTCAACTTCTTCCTGGTTTAGTCTTTGGAGGGTGTATGTCTCCAGGAGTTTATCCATTTATTCTAGATTTTCTAGTTTATTTGTGTAGAGGTGTTTATAGTATACTCTGTAGTTTGTATTTCTGTGAGATCAGTGGTAATATCCTCATTATCATTTTTATTTGTCTATTTGATTCTTCTCTCTTTTCTTCTTTATTAGGCTGGCTAGCAGTCTATCTATTTTGTTAATGTTTTCAAAAAACCAGCTCCTGGATTCTTTGATTTTTTTGAAGGGTTTTCTGTGTCTCTATCTTCTTCAGTTCTGCTCTGATCTTAGTTATTTCTTGTCTTCTGCTAGCTTTTGAATTTGTTTGCTCTTGCTTCTCCAGTTCTTTTAATTGTGATGTTAGGGTGTCAATTTTAGATTTTTCCTGCTTTCTCCTGTGGGAATGTAGTACTATAAATTTCCCTCTAGCACTGCTTTAGCTGTGTCCCAGAGATTCTGGTACGTTGTGTCTTTTTTCTCATTGGTTTCAAGGGACTTATTTATTTCTGCCTTAATTTCATTATTTACCCAGTAGTCATCCAGGAGCAGGTTGTTCAATTTCCATGTAGTTGTGCAGTTTTGAGTGAATTTCTTAATCCTGAGTCTAATTTGATTGCACTGTGGCCTGAGAGACTGTTATGATTTCTGTTTTTTCACATTTGCTGAGGAATGTTTTACTTCCAATTATGTGGTCTATTTTAGAATAAGTGCGATGTGGTGCTGAGAAGAATGTTTATTCTGTTGATTTGGGGTGGAGAGTTCTGCAGATGTCTCTTAGGTCTGCTTGGTCCAGAGCTGAGTTCAAGTCCTGAATATCCTTGTTAATTTTCTCTCCTGTTGATCTCTCTAATATTGACAGTGGGGTGTTAAAGTCTCCCACTATTATTGTGTGGGAGCCTAAATCTCTTTCTAGGTCTCTAAGAACTTGCATTATGAATCTGGGTGCTCTTGTATTGGGTGCATATATGTTTAGGATAGTTAGCTCTTCTTGCTGCATTGATCCCTTTACGATTATGTAATGCCCTTCTTTGCCTTTTTTTTTTATCTTTGTTGGTTTAAAGTCTGTTTTATCAGAGACTAGGATTGCAATCCCTGCTTTTTTTGCTTTCCATTTTCTTGGTAAATATTCCTTCATCCCTTTATTTTGAGCCTATGTGTGTCTTTGCATGTGAGATGGGTCTCCTGAATACAGCACACTGATGTGTCTTAACTCTTTATCCAATTTGCCAGTCGGTGTCTTTTAACTGGGGCACTTAGCACATTTACATTTAAGGTTAATATTGTTATGTGTGAATTTGATCCTGTCATTATGATGCTAGCTGGTTATTTTACCCATTAGTTGATGCAGTTTCTTTATAGTGTCGATGGTCTTTACATTTTGGTATGTTTTTGCCATGGCTGGGACCAGTTTTTCCTTTCCATATTTAGTGCCTTCTTCAGTAGCTCTTGTAAGGCCGGCCTGGTAGTGACAAAATCCCTCAGCATTTGCTTGTCTGTAAAGGATTTTATTTCTCCTTTGCTTATGAAGCTTAGTTTGGCTGCATATGAAATTCTGGGTTGAAAATTCTTTTCTTTAAGAATGTTAAATATTGACCCCCACTCTCTTCTGGCTTGTAGAGTTTCTTCAGAGAGATCCACTGTTAGTCTGATGGGCTTCCCTTTGTGGGTGACCCGACCTTTTTCTCTGGCTGCCCTTAACATTTTTTCCTTCATTTCAACCTTGGTAAATCTGACGATTATGTGTTTTGGGGTTGCTCTTATCGAGGAATATCTTTGTGGTGTTCTCTGTATTTCCTGAATTTGAATGTTAGCCTGTCTTGCTAGGTTGGGGAAGTTCTGCTGGATAATATCCCGAAGTGTGTTTTCCAACTTGGTTCCATTCTCCCCATCACATTCAGGTACACCAATCAAACGTAGGTTTGGTCTTTTCACATAGTCCCATATTTCTTGGAGGCTTTGTTCATTCCTTTTCATTCTTTTTTTTCTCTAATCTTGTCTTTATTTCATTAAGTTGATCTTTATTTCATTAAGTTGATCTTCTCTGATATCCTTTCTTCTGCTTGATTGATTTGGCTATTGATACTTGTGTATGCTTCATGAAGTTCTTGTGCTGTGTTTTTCAGCACCATCAGGTCATTTATGTTCTTCTCTAAACTGGTTATTCTATTTAGCAGTTCCTGTAACCTTTTATCAAGGTTCTTAGCTTCTTTGCATTGGGTTAGAACACGCTCCTTAGATCGGAGGAGTTTGTTATTACCCACCTTCTGAAACCTACTTCTGTCATTTCATCAAGCTCATTTTCCATCCAGTTTTGTTCCCTTGCTGGTGAGGAGTTGTGATCCTTTGGAGGAGAAGAGGCATTCTGGTTTTTGGAATTTTCAGCCTTTTTGTGCTAGTTTTGCCTCATCTTTGTGGATTATCTACCTATAGTCTTTGATTTTGGTGACCTTCAGATGGGGTTTTTGCGTGGGCATGCTTTTTGTTGATGTTGATGCTAATGCTTTCTGTTTGTTAGTTTTCTTTGTAACAGTCAGGTCCCTCTTCTGCAGGTCTGCTGGAGTTTGCTGGAGGTCCACTCCAGACCTGTTTGCCTGGGTATCACCAGCAGAGGCTGCAGAACAGCAAAGATTGCTGCCTGCTCCTTCCTCTGGAAGCTTCGTCCCAGAGGGGCACCTGCCAGATGCCAGCTGGAGCTCTCTTGTATGAAGTGTCCGTCAACTCCTGCTGGGAGGTGTCTTCCAGTCAGGAAGCACGGGGATCAGGGACCCACTTGAGGAGGCAGTCTGTCCCTTAGCAGAGCTTGAGCACTGTGCTGGGAGATCCGCTGCTCTCTTCAGAACTGGCAGGCAGGAACCTTTAAGCCTGCTGAAGCTGTTCTCCCAGCCGCCCCTTTCCCCAGGTGCTCTGTCCCAGGGAGATGGGAGATTTATCTATATGTCCCTGACTGGGGCTACTGCCTTCCTTTCAGAGATGCCCTTCCCACAGAAGAGGAATCTAGTGAGGCAGTCTGGCTACAGTAGCTTTGTCATGCTGTCGTGGGTTCCGCACCCAGTCTGAACTTCCTGGTGGCTTTGTTTACACTGTGAGGGGAAAGCCGCCTACTCAAGCCTCCGTAATGGTGGATGCTCCTCCCCCTACCAAGCTCCAGCATCTCAGTTTGATTTCAGATTACTGTGCAGGCAGTGAGCATTTCAAGCCAGTTGATCTTAGCTTGCTGGGCTCCATGGTGGTGGGATCCACTGAGCAAGATCACTCGGCTCCCTGGCTTCAGCCCTCTTTCCAGGGGAGTGAACGGTTCTGTCTCACTGGCATTCCTGGCACCACTGGGGTATGAAAAAAGAACTCCTGCAGCTAGCTTGGTGTCTGCCCAAACGGCTGCCCAGTTTTGTGCTTGAAACCCAGGGCCCTGGTGGTGTAGGTGCCAGAGAGAATCTTCTGGTCTACAGGTTGAGAAGACTGTGGGAAAAGCATAGTATCTGGGCCAGATAGCACCATCCCTCATGGCACAGTCCCTCACTGCTTCCCCTGGCTAGGGGAACATAATACTCTATTTTAAACCTGTATTTTATTTAATCATCCTATCATCATCTCCAGGTGTACATCATCATTTTTACATCACAGTAATTTGCCACAGGACACAGAGTAAGTGGCTGTAGTAAGTTGTATTATTGCTCAATCTATTTGCTATTTGGGAGTGTGTTAAATATCCCTGCTTTGGGCCGGGCGTGGTGGCTCATGCCTGTAATCCCAGCACTTTGGGAGGCCGAGGTGGGTGGATCACGAGGTCACGAGATCGAGACCAGCCTGATCAACATGGTGAAACCCCGTCTCTACTAAAAATAGAAAAATTAGCTGGGCGTGGTGGCACATGCCTGTAATCCCAGCTACTCGGAAGGCTGAGGCAGGAGAATTGCTTGAACCTGGGAAGCGGAGGTTGCAGTGAGCCGAGATTGCGCCACTGCACTCCAACCTGGTGACGGAGCAAGACTCCATCTCAAAAAAAAAAAAAAAAAAAAAATCCCTGCTTTTTTGGGGTCAGGCTTGGCCATATGATTTGTTTTGTCCATAAAATATAAATGGAAGTGATGTGAGCAGAAACTTTAAAAGCCAACATATGATTCCATTGTCTTTTTTTCTATTTCACAAGATCAATTTCCCAGATACTGGCTGCTCCTTTAGTCTGGGTCTGGAGATAATGACCACAGGGAAGACAGATGCAGCTGATATGTAGCCTGAGTGAGAAATAAACCTTTGCTATTCCAAGCCACTGAGATTTGGGGTTGTTTGTTACCACATCATGCCATAGCCTAAGTTGATTAGTACAGTAGCAAAGACAGGATTCTGACTCCAAAGCCCATGACTTTTCCTTCATAACACTCTACCTTCCAGTGGGAAAGACACAGAGGCTTAAACACTGTTTGTGCAGCATGTGGCATCTCCTCCCTCCTTTTACATATGCTAGTGAGAGCTTACGAAAGTGTCAGGAGAGTACAGTCAGCCCAGAGGACTTCTGTCTAACCATGAATGCTGGGTTCATGTAAACTGCACAGCAGATCTGACTCCCCAGGGTTCGTGTCAGCCTCTCCCTTCTTAGAAGCACTGAAGCAGGGGAGGGAGGGGCACAGTGATGACAGTGATGAGTTCCATATGTCTCAAGTGCTTTCCAGATGCGCCCTCTGGCTCAGCTTAGTGGGAGCTGGTGCCATCTGGTAGACAAGCACGGAGACTGTGAGTAGGGGGCCAGCCTTCCAGATCCAGTGTCCTCCCCACCTCGGGAGTAACTGGGAAGTCCCTGATCCCAGATAGGAAGTGGATACTTCCCTGTAGGAAGAGGAAAGGTCCAAGAGCCCCTCGTTCAAAACCAGATAGGTGTTCTTTGAGTGAAAAGCAAGCTGGACCTTGAGGCCAAATAAAATTTTGCTATTTAGAATGACTGGTTAAGTTGGAAAAACAAACAAGCAAATAAACCTCTGCAAGAAGGTAAATTAATCTAAAAAGTGGTCTAATCTTTCTTTTGTTAAAAAAAAAAAAAGATAGCCAGGCATGGTGGCAGGCACCTGTAATCTCAGCTACTCAGGAGACTGAGGCAGGAAAATCGCTTGAACCTGGGAGGTGGAGGTTGCAGTGAGCTGAGATCACACCACTGCACTCCAGCCTGGGCTACAGAGCAAAACTCTGTAAAAACAAACAAAAAAAAATCTATGGTGTTTTTCTTCTGTGGATTTAAACTGAGAAAATGGAGCTGACAATCCCTTTCTTTATTTAGATTTTCCCCTAGGATTTTGTGTTGCAGGGGAATATACCGGTCTAGGTCTATGTCAATGACCTGGGTCAATGACCTGGGGAATTGTTTTGGAGTCACTCTTGGTATTTGTTGCAGGGCCTAGGCAATCATGGAGCAGCTACAGCTGCCTCTGGCAGAGAGCAGTATGGATTGACTCTGCAGTTGTAATGTGACTGCAACCCCATTTGAGGAAAGGGTATTTGTTGTAGTCAACCTGCAGGTCACTAGGTCCATACTTTGCTTAGCTTTTAAACTGTCTTTGTATCATGACTTGAGTAGCTGATTGACACTTGAGTTTCTTGGGTCTCTTTCTTGTGTTCTGGAATTCAGTGTACCATCTTGTTCTGTTTTATGATTAATCTTTTTGAGAGGCCTACAAAACAGATATATCACAAGTAGGAAAATTAAAAGCAAACACTGATTTATAAACAGTTCACAAAAAATCAAGAGGATACAGAAATTCCCTTTGTTCCATGATATATATTTGTTTCCCTCATGACATGGCTCCTCATTTTACCATCAGAGGGTACAAAAGCATCTTCTTAGCTCCAAGATACCTAACAGTTACAGTATACTTGACCAATTGACCAGCTTCAATGGACCCCTTTTTCCTTTGAGTTCTTTACTTTGTTTAGTTCTCCATTGTAGTAATAGCCAACATTTAAAGAGGCCTTTACTGCTCGAAAATGCTTTTACATACATTGACAAAGAGGCCCTCACAATGCCTTTGGAGCCGGTTGAACTGAATATTATTAGGTGCCCCTGTAAAGAGTGGGTCATAGAATGGTTTCACCACCATTTTTATGGATCTGGGAGATTAGGGACCATGTCAATTTGTTGTGGTTGTTGATCATGCGTTCTTTTACCACTAAAATGAAGAACAGAAAGGGACAAAAATGAGGAAAGAAGTAAGAGGAGGAGAAAATGGGAAAGAAGAAGACAGGTCATTGTGTTAAAATAACAAGTAAAACAGTTAACAGCTGGAAGCTCCAATTGGCTGGACTGAGGGCTGCAGAAGGCTGACAAGGTGGTTCCTTTTTTTTTTTGATCTATCTCAAGCCCACAAATGGCCCAAGTACATCGTTGGAGCTCTCAATTCAAAATTTGCTGCATGAACTGATGAATAGAGATGACTTAACAATGCTTCCTTCTGGATGGAGGAATTTTAGCATTTTTACATGTATAGGTCCCACTCACCTGTTCTTTTCAAAACATGATTGGTAACAAATAAAACATTCAAACAATCTAATTTTCTCCTGCCTAGACAATTTCAAACGCATTAGGAATAATATTTTTCACCAGATTGATTAAATTAATAGATTGCTTTAGTGTCATGTCTGCCATATTATAATTTGCTGAACTAATTGTTTTTCCAAATCAAAAGCAGACAGGCCCCTTGCCCTATGCACAGTAACTATGGCAAAAACTAACTAGTGGTTTTGTCCTCATGTATTCCTGACTTTTATTTTTTTAAATAGGAGATTGTGCCTGGGAAATTGCCACTGCCCTAGAAAATCTCAGCTCATTACTTTCTGTATTATTATTCACTTTGACATTTGTTTGCTACCTTTAAAGTTGCTGGGGTTTTTTTTTTTTTTTTGACTCAAGAATGTATGGCTTAGCTCACGACTAAACTGAAAATTCCTCAAGAATAATATGGACTGAATTGTGTCCCCCCCAACCTCCACCCAAAAATTCATATGCTGAAGGTTAATATGGTTTGGATTTGTGTCCCCACCCAAATCTCATGTCAAATAGTAATCTCCAATGTTGGAGGAGGGGCCTGGTGGAAGGAGATTGGATCATGGGAGCAGATTTCCTCATTGCTGTTCTCATGATAGTGAATGAGTTCTCACAAGATTTGGTTGTTTAAAAGTGTGTAGCACCTCCCCCTTCTCTCTCTTTCTTCTGCTTCTGCCATGTAGGATGTGCCTGCTTCCCCTTCACCTTCTGCCATGATTGTAAGTTTCCTGAGAACTCCCCAGCCATGCTACCTGTACAGGCTGTGGAACTGTGAGGCAATTACTACACCTCTTTTCTTTATAAAGTACGCAGTCTCAGGTATTTCTTTATAGCAGTGCTAGAAGGGACTAATACAAATATCTAACCTCTGGTTCTTCAGAATATGACTGTATTTGGACATTGGGCCTTTGGAGGCAATTGAGTTAAAATGAGGCCATTGGGTTTGGCCATAATCCAATCTGACTGGTGTCTTCATAAGAAGAGGAAATCTGCACACACAGAGAAACACCAGGGATGCACACACACAGAGGAAAGACCATGTGAGGACACAGCAAGAAGGGCAGCCATCAGCCAGATGTGGTGTCTCACGCCTGTAATCCCAGCACTTTGGGAGGCTGTGGGGGGCAGATCATTTGAGTTCAGGAGATCGAGACCAGCCTGACCAACATGGTGAGCCCCCATCTCTACTAAAAATACAAAAAACTTAGCTGAGTGTGGTGGCGCATGCCTCTAGTCCCAGGCAGGAAAATTGTTTGAATCCAGGAGGCGGAGGTTGCAGTGAGCTGAGATTGCGCCATTTCACTCCAGCCTGGGAGACAGAGCAAGACCCCGTCTCAAAAAAAAAAAAAAAAAACGCAGCCATCCACAAGACAAGGAGAAAGCCCTCAGGAGAAACCAATCCTGTGACACCTTGATCTTGGACTTCTAGCTTTCAGAACTGTGAGAAAATAAAATTTATTGTTTAAGCCACCCAGTCTGTGGTATTTTTGTTACAGCAGCCCTAGCAAATGAATATAGATAATGACATTTTATACTTCTCCAACATATTCTTGACCCATCATGCTTTATAAAATGCTCAATGCACAACTTAGACAACACTCGATACCAGTTGCATTTGTTTTTTATCTTTTATGTATTTAAAAAAATCTATTAATGAGATAATAGTTAATGTAATTGACTTCTTCTTTTTTTTTTTTTTGAGGCAGAGTCTCACTCTGTCACCCCGGCTGGAGTGCAGTGGCATGATCTCAGCTCACTGCAACCTCTGCCTCCTGGGTTCAAGTGATTCTCGTGCCTCAGCCTCCTGAGTAGCTGTGATTATAGGCACACACCACCATGCCCAGCTTATTTTTGTATTCTTAGTAGAGATGGGGTCTCACCATGTTGGCCAGGCTGATCTCAAACTCCTGACCTCAAAAGATCCACTTGCCTCGGGCTCCCAAAGTGCTGGGATTACAGGTGTGAGCCACCGTGCCCCGCTGCAATTCATTTCATTGTTTATTTTGGTTTGTTGGCAAATAGCTCTCTGTCTTTATTATGTCTAATCATTTGTTTGAATAGTAATACATGTCCATGGTAAATATTTTAGACAGTATGAAAGATTATATGATGAAAGGTAAGTGCCCCACCTCCCTCAGTTCCCTCTTTCCTTCCCTAGAGGTAACCATTATTACCGGCGTATTGTCTATCTTTCCAGATACATATTTGCTTAAAAACAGATGTGTGTGTGTACATGTGTCTAGTATATGCATCTATATTATAGATATAGAACATATTTTGGCTGGGTGCCATGGCTCATATCTGTAATCCCAGTCCTTTGAGAGGCCCAGGCAGGCGGATCACTTGAGGCCAGGAGTTCGAGACCAGCCTGGCCAACATGACAAAACCCTTCCGCTACTAAAAATACAAAACTTAGCCAGGTGTGGTGGCATGTGCCTGTAGTTCCAGCTACTTGGTAGGCTGAGGCACAAGAATCGCTTGAATCTGGGAGGTGGAGGTTGCAGTGAGCTGAGATCACGCCACTGCACTCCAGCCTGGGTGACAGAGTGACACTCTGTGTCAAAAAAGAAAAGGAAAAAGAACATATTTTAATGCAAATATATAGTTTATGTAAATCTCTCTATAAATGCATATATAAATATGCATCCCCTTCTCGATTTTCTTTTTTGTTTTATTCTGTTTTTAAATTATGACAGCATAATATGCATGTTTCTACTTTTTAAAGAGAGCTAACAGTATATCTTGGGAATTGTTCCATATGGGACATACAAACACATATTGTTCTTTGTAATTTTGGGGTTGCATTTATTTTAAGTGTATGGTCCTCCCTGCTTCCTCTACCCTAACATGCACTCACATGGAGAACAAGCAGGAAGTACAAATACAAATAAAGAGGTTTATTCTCGCTGCTACTTCTTGATAGAAGTATTTGAGTGACAAATTTAACCAGATGATCAAGCTGGAAGCATTAAACAAGAGGGCACAACTTTTAGACAGTCCAAATGAGCAGGAATATTGCAGCGAGACTTTCTCTGACCGACCCCACATGTTTCCAGTCACTATACTAACTGCAGGCACACCAGCAATCATATTTACAGCCTAGTTCAGCCCCAAATTTATTGTGCAATTACTATTGTACCAAGAAAATGGAAATAACTAAAAAAGAAACAGACATAAATCTACCACACTAGAAAACCAAGGTGTTTTTTCTTGTTCCCTATTAGTTATTGCTTGCTTTTATACATACTTTGATCATTTTAATTACAAATCAGAACAATTATGTATTCTGCTTTTGTCTCTTAAACTGAATCATAAACATTGCTATTTGTTACCATGTTTACTTAATAACTTTATGTGCTTGTGTAATAGTCCATGTAGTCACTGGATTGTTTCCTCTCACTTTTAAAAAGAAAAACTGTACTATCTGAGCTATAGTTAAAAATCATAACTTACAAGAAGCTGGGCGCAGTGGCTCATGCCTATAATCCCAGCACTTTGGGAGGCTGAGGTGGGTGGATCACCTGATGTCAGGAGTTCGAGACCAACCTGGCCAACATGGTGAAACCCCATCTCTACTAAAAATGTAAAAATTAGCCAGGTGTAGTGGCGTGCACCTGTAGTCCCAGCTACTTGAGAGGCTGAGGCAGGAGAATTACTTGAACCTGGGAGGCAGAGACTGCAGTTAGCCGAGATCGTGCCACCGCACTCCAGCCTGGGTGACAGAGCGAAATTACATCTCAAAAAAAAAAAAAATTACAAGAAAATTAATCTGACATATATTTAATAATACACATGTTATTGAGCTACATGGTAATTAACTATAAAATGGAGAGCATTGCCTATAAAAAATTATAACTAACATTGTCTATACTCTGTGAAATAAAAACTTTCTAGGGGAGGTGCTGTAAAGAGGAAACTGTTCAGATGCCCTCCTGAAGAAGAAATAGACTTTTCTATACCTTTACGGAAATGAGCCTGCAAATTCTTTTTCTCCATTCCTGTAGCTGAAACTCTGCTTGCACAGAGGTAGAAGGAGCACAGTGGCATGCCTCAATCAGATTAGGTTAATCAGGTTGATTTTCTAGCAACTAGCTAAAAGTGTCAATGACTAATGGCCTTCTTTAATTAATTAACTTAATCAGCAAATATTTATTGGGCATTTATTATGTGCTGGATGTGGCATACATAGGGAAAAAATAACCGAGACCTCTGCTCCCTTACAGTTTACAATCTAGACAAGGTATAGCATAGTAATCAAATAAGCAATAAATAAAATAATGACAACTTTTAGTAATTATTAAGAAAGATTCAGGGCACTATCACAGATAGCAATGAAGTTGGGAAATTCTTTACATAGCGAATGAGAGGAGGCTTCTCTGTAAGAGTAAGTCACGTTGACACTGAAACTTGATGGAGAGGAAAGAGTCAGCCACACAAAGAGCAGGGGAAATAGGGGCCAGCAGGAGCAAAGGCTCTGAGGCATGGTGTATGCTTGAGATGACTAAGACCACTGGGACTGTGGTGCAGGGGGCAGCAGGCAACGTGGCCTGGGCGAGGTGGAGAGGAGGGCATGGGTCTTACCATGCACGGCCCAGAACACCACGGCGGGAGCCTGAATTTCATTCAAGGTACAATGCAAAGCCAGGTAAAAGTCTTAAGCAGGAGAATGGTGTAATTCAAATCGTGTTTTAAAAAGAACTTTTGGCCACTGCGTGGACGACAGATTGGAGGAGGGCAAGAATGGAAGTTGAAGGAATAATTAGAAGGTCGTTGGTGTTGCTGCACGAGAAGAGACCTTGGCTGGAATCTGAGTGGTGGCAGTGGAAGTGGAGACTAATCACGGGTATGGGGGCTGGAGCTGCTGGCTGAAAGGACTGTGAAGAATGAGAGAAAAGCAAGTTGCCAATCATGACTCCCAGGTTTCCAGGCAAGCTCCACATTTAGAAGTGAGAGGCAGGAAGGCAAGAGGTCTCTCCTGGATATTTAAGTTGGAGATGCCTTGTGGGACATCCGAATGGAACTATCCGCGTGGCAGTGAGATATAGGAGTCTCAGGTCGATATTATCAGCCTGGCAATATTCAAAGCCCGAGGACTGGATGAGACTCAAGGAGAGTGTGTAGTTGGGGAAAAGAAGGAGCCCAGGACTGAGTCAGTAACTTCTCAGAGATGTGCAATCATGACCAGAAGTAAATCCCCAACTGGTGGAAAGTCAAGCTCTCTGATGATTTGTAGTGTATGTTTTTACTATTAAATAATCCCTCAGTGGTCAGAGAAACTATCCAGAGAAATTATTTTCTTTCAGGTCTTTCAGTTTCTCTCTGCCTACCTCTCCTAGTTCTGGTATCACCTAACCCTTAGGGATCCTCCTACAGGGAAAGAGGGGGAAATGTGGGTAAGGTTTTTCATGCTCTGTGACCATGTAGGCTGTCACCTTAAGTGGTTCTTTGATCAAGGGAAACCCATCAGGTCTCAGTCAATCCAAGAGATGATATGTTTGCTTTGGAAAAGAAAGCGATCTAACATTTAAAATCTCTCCAACTGGAAAATGAAATGGAATATTTCCAGGCTTCCAAGCATGCATATGCCCAGAAATACCCTACTAATGCTGCACTTTCCTCTACTCTGAAGAAATTAGATAGACTTATTTCCCAGGATTACGTTTAGTTTGAGACACTGCATCTGTAAAGGCTCAGTTCATGCTATATTGTGAATGACCATAAAAAAGGCAGGAGGCCCTGTAAATTAGGGTTACAGGTTTTGTATTGGCATAGGAAACCCAAATTCTACATTTAAGCCACCGCCTCCTCATGGCCAAATAACAACAGACTGAAATATGTGTTAAATAATGGATAAAGCTTGCTCTTCTGTAAAGATTGATTTTAAGGACAAGAACTAGAGGATGCTATGAATTCAGTGGGAAAAGACACTGTTTAATCTTTTCTGAAAAATATCTGATGAGACAAACACACGTTATTTTCTGATTATGCCTCCTCTCCGTCTGACATTTTGTGCCTGATTTATGTAAAGAAGTGTTTCAATGCACTGTTTGTGATTTCAGTGAATTGAGGCAAAAACTCTTTTTCCTAGAATGTCAAGATTCATAGATTTTTGGGTCAGAAAGAGCTTTTGAGAGAATTCAGGCCATCTCTCTTATTTTCTGAAAATGAAAAGAGAGAGATAAAGGACCTGGCCAAAATTAACACTGTGATTAGAGAGATAGGCCTGCCATCCAGAACTCATGCATGATTGACAACACTGCTTTTCCCACAATTTGAATTCAAACCCATAGAAAACTGCTACTGAAACAATGAAGTAGAATTTCAGTTTTTTGGTTAACTGTTCATTTTTTACAAGGTTGAACTTTATTCTAAAAAAACTAATCGTATTAAAAATGTTGGGGGTCCAGAAACAGTAGCTTATGCCTGTAATGCCAGCACTTTGGGAGGCTAAGATATGAGGGTTGCTTTAGGCCAGGAGTTCAAGACCAGCCTTGGCAACTTAAAGAAACCTTGTCTCTACAAAAATAATAATAATAAAAATTTTTTGGAACATAAGAAAAAGAAAAAAATCACATGCATGCAATCACTGTTAGCATTTTAATGTATTTCCTTCTAGATTTTCTTTTCTGGGCATATTTAAACATGATGATTATTTAGTGTATACTTAATTTCATGTTTTCCGTTAATATAAGCATTTCTAATGGATGCAGAATGTTCTTGCAAATGAATATGCTATAATTTATTGAATCTTTCTGTGGTTGTTGGGCATTTAGGATGATTCCAATTATTTGCTATTATACATAACAATGTTGTATGATATATAAACATCTTATGACATATAGCTTTTTCGATAGATTATACCCTTAATATGGAACTTCAGAAATAGAATTAGAGAGTCATGGATTTTACTACTAAAATTGCCACAGAGTCAGCCCAGTTCAATATATCTTCTGCCAAAGCAAGCACTACAACATTAAATATTAACATTAAAAATATGTGCCAGTTTCCTCATTGAAAATGGCACTTGTTTGAGTTCTTGTTTCTTTTAGGGCTGAGTTCACTCTTTCTACCTTAACCATTTTAGCTTTTTAAATTGCTTATCATTCCCTGAACACAACAGCCTAGTCCATAGATCTTGTTTACAGTTCTCTCTTGCTAAAATTGGAACCCTTTGTGGATGAGGTTTGTGTTCTACTAATCTACATATTTTCAGGATCTTGTGTGGTACTTGGCACAGAGTGGGTGCTTAATAAGTATTTAACAAATGAATGAATAAATGAACGAGTAAATAAAGTTGAACATTCCCCCCATGTTTGTTTAGTAACTGTGATTTCTTTCTTTATTTTATTTTATTTTTTTCAAGACAGAGTCTCACTCTGTCGCCCAGGCCAGGCTGGAGTGCAGCAGCGCAATCTCGGCTCACTGCAACCTCTGCCTCCTGGATTCAAGTGATTCTCTTGTGTCAGCCTCCTGAGTAGCTGGGATTACAGGTGTGCACCACCACTCCTGGCTAATTTTTGTATTTTTAGCAGAGACAGCGTTTCACCGTGTTGGCCAGGCTGGTCTCAAACATCTGACCTCAGGTGATCCGTGCGCCTCAGCCTCCCAAAGCGCTGGGATTACAGGCATGAGCCACCACGCTGGGCAGTAACTGTGATTTCTGGATGCATCATTTGGTTTATGTCCTTTGTCCATCTACTTGTTGGTATCAGATTTTTATTAGTTTTTATTAGTGTTTGAAAATAAGAGGATATTTACACTTCACTTGTCACATTTGGGTTAATAATTCTTTCTAGTCTATGGTTTGCTTATTATTTTCTGTGGGTCTGATATTAAAGGGGAAAAATAAAGGGCAGAAGTTAGGCTAATAAAAGTGTCATCTAGTGCATTTTCTCTACCTCAGAAGGTGGGGAACAATGAAAGTGCTCGTGCAGAGAGAAATGAGTTCTGTGAAAATTAGACAATTTGGTTACTCTATTTAAACAGACCACATGGGGTTGTTCATGTGAAAACAAATGTGTTGACCACATTTCAGGCCCTCTGAAGCTGAAAATGTCAACCAACCCCTGTGTGCAGAGAAAAAGAAATTCCACTCATCCGTACAGAGAGGTTGGTTTCAATTAAAAACCACACCGAGTGTGGCTGAGTAATTTCTTAATGTATTCCATTTGTAAATGAGAAGTGAAAAACACTCATTAGTAATTCTTGAATCCTTGGTGAATCAGCAATGTCCGCAGAAAACAAACATATACCACTCTGCTTACATTGAAAGGAGAACAAAGACACACCTTTTTTTCCTTTGTCTTTCAGAAATGCTTTTCATGTTTTAAAAAAATATATAAAAAATGGTATCATCACGTTGTCCCTCTGGGTCTGTTGTTGCATTTGCAAATTTTAATACTTTTCTGGTTAATATTTTATAAAGTGGATGCACTCATAAAATAGAAGTTGTCAGGAGCCTTCGGGATAATATCAGCCCCCTCTGGTCACCTAGGGTGAAAGCTGAAGCCACATGGCTGGAAATAAAGAAGTTCCATTTCCCAAAATTTGGGGACTTATTCTCTGGCAGGAGATTCACAGGCAAAAAGCCAAAACCAAAGCCCCCAAACAACCATTTTCCCTGCTGGAAAAAAGCTTCTCGAGGCTAGGGATTCATAATGGACACATCAACGTGCCCCCAGAACAGGTCCAGCACCGAGGAGGTGGTTCTGAACACACGTTAGAAAGAATAAACCACTGGGGCAGCCCGGTCATGAACTGTGAGCTGGATATTTCCCATGTGTGCCCCTAGATCCACTCTCCACCCTCAACCTGCTGCTCTCTGCCCTAGGCTGACCCCATAGGCCACTTCAATGGGATACCTTGACCTCTGGCTTATCAGGTAACTTCAGCCTATGAGGCGCCCCAGAGGAGTTTGGAGGGAAGAAGCAGATGAGGCTGGGGTGTTTATTCTTTTGACTTCTCCCCTGTGGAATGGCCTCCAGTGGGGCTTTCTGGAGGTCACAGCTCCACACCTCCTGCCAAGTAGACCCTCTCCTAGTGATCCTCCCTTACCTGGTTCTTGTAACACTCTGACCTTCATCCTAGGAGTACTGTGCTATCCCATACTCTGCCTACACCTTCATAAATGTCCCTTTATTATGCTGTCCTTGAATTGCCCTAATTTCAATGTGCCATCTATTTTTTTTCTGGGACATGACCAATACAGACATTGATAGACATATTCATGTTGGTTTAATGGCTGCGTCCTAAAATTCAACCTGCAATCTGCTCAACAAGCTGTGTACCCCAGAGGTTGAGGTGCCTTTTCCTAATGCTTACCCAGGAGAGATTAGGCTGGTGCCTTGGGCTGAATGTATGTATATGAGCCTCAACTTTAAACTAAGTTGAAAAGAACTAAGTTAAAAAAAAATTCTGAGGGGCCAGGTGCGGTGGCTCGTTCTTGTAATCCCAGCACTTTGGGAGGCCAAGGTGGGCAGATCGTGAGGTCAGGAGTTTGAGACCAGCCTGGCCAGCATGGTGAAACCCGTCTCTACTAAAAATACGAAAATTAGCTGGGTGTGGTGGTGGGTGCCTGTAATCCCAGCCACTTGGGAGGCTGAGGCAGGAGAATCTCTTGAATCCGGGAGGTGGAGGTTGCAGTGAGCTGAGACTGCGCCATTGCACTACAGCCTGGGTGACAGAGCGAGACTCCACCTCAAAAAAAGAAAAAAAAAGGAAAAAAAATATCTCAGAGATTCATTTTCTCTTCTTTGCCCCTTCTGTGAGTTGTGGCTTTTGCTTGCAGCCTGAGCAAGTCATCTCTATCCAAGCTGCAGCCACAGAAGCAGAAACAAAGGGGACTCCAATTGGTCTCCAAGGACTGACTACTTTGGCTGATCCTACAGAAGCAGAAAGACCACAAACCAAAGACAACAGTCCCTCTGGTCATTTGGTGATTTGTGGCTGTTTTTACCTGTTCTTTTGGTTGTGTTTTCATGCAGATCTGCCCTCTTCAACTCACTGGAGCGTTGTGTGATACAGGACCAGCTGCATGTCTGCAGAACCTGTTTTCATTTCTGTCTTTAGCATAGATGATAGAAATGACTCTAAAGGACAAAGTATACCTCAATGCAATAAAACCATCTGCCCTATCTAATTTCCCCTCCCTTCAGGGATGTGAGACCCAGTCTTGTGGGGTGTGTTTAGAGTCTCAGCTTCTTTATTGTTCAAATTTCCTTGCCAACCATTGCTGGTGATTTTAACTGACTTCACAACTTCTGCCTCAGTACTCGGAATGCTCTCCAGTAAAGATACAGCAAATTGCACATGGAAAAGCAATGTGTCACTCCGTTCAATGTTTCTGTCTTCAATGACTGAGGGTGTGTTGCATATGGTGAATAAAGGAGACATTCATCTTTCCTCATCCACATAAAGGAATTGGCAGTTAACTGGGTTACTAGACCAGGCTAAGGCCTCTAAATCTGACTTGATTGTTCAGTTCACATATTGCTTCCCATTTTTCTCTTCCCTGTGCATTCAGAAACCCATCTAATCCTGACTATTAAGCTCTTTGTACAGCGTGAGCTTTCCCCTATAATGCTAAACTCAAGCTGATTTTAGATGAGAATCCAACAGATCCTTTCAAGCAGCACTCAATTCAGTGAAATCTCCATCTGCAGACAGTCCTTGCTGCTGAAAGAGACTGGCTAGATTTGAGCAGCAATAATTACTTTCAAACGAATTTCCCATCTCCAGGTGTTTGCATCTCACTAATTATTTTCAAGGTAAATTGATTTTGCTTGGCAGTATCTTCCACTTCCACCTTGCAATAAGCAATTTAACATGAAATTGCTGACCTATAATTGTTCTACCCAACCATGAATTCCTAATCCTTCTGCAATTTATAGTTATGTAGTCTTTGAGCTGCAACTGAGTTTTCCACCAGCGTAATAATCACTTCCTTTATTTTTACCTATAACAAGCAGCTGGATTAGTGTAGTGCATGGGAGAGCTTCAGCTAGTCACTGAAAATTACAGAATATCAATAGCTATTGACGTGGGTGGCAACATATTACAAAATGGAACTGTAGATCATTTGGGGAAAATATTTTGATGAAATTCACCCCTCTGGGTGATGTGCTGAATCTTAAACCAGAAAGAAAGAACATCAAACCAAACAAAAAAGGTTATTTTTTTCCTTTGAATGGACAGATAGCAACATCTTTAAATGCTAAATAAAGTAGCCCTGAGCTTCTGAGGGTGCCCCTCAGGGACTATTGTCTGAACTGTCAATCAAGTCTCTTGGATTTCTGCCCTCAATGCTTCTTTCCTTTTCCAGCTTTCCTTCAAATGTTCAGCAGTGATAAATAGAGAGTTGTTTGTCTTTTATTTCAAATGCCTTCCTTATAATATCAGAGCTATGTTAGCATCATTTACAAATCAATCTAGCAGGATGGCTTAATGTCATCACAATTTTATGGCAGCCAGTGATATCCAAACTATCTCTAGAGTCTTGATTTATTTCTGTTTGGCTCTAAATTAGGTTATTTCTCCTCCAAAGGTTACCAAGTGCTTTAGAAACTGATGCCCTGATGCCCCTTACTCCCACACGTGAGAGAAATGCCTCCAGGGTCAGGATGAAGAGCTCACCACCCAGCAGGAGAGAAGATGAGCAAGTTAAGCAGTGCCCAGCCTTTAAGAAGTGTCTCCCACAGTGAGGTTGGAGTTCTGAGGAAGGAGAGGGGAGAGCTGACTTTGGCTAGACTCCAGCAGTTCTCAACCAGAGGCAATTTTGTCCTCCAGGGGACATTTGCCAATGTCTGGAGACATTTTTGGTTCGCACAACTTCAGGGAGGGAGTGCTAGGCACAAAATGAGGGAGGCCACACACTGGGGATGGCGGACAGATGTTTAATTTCCTCCCTCGCCAGCTCTTCCTCATCTCCATATGTGCAAATGTTCCCATCATCCAAGGTCTGGGTCATGCACATCCTCTCCACACCCTCCTCTTCCATTGCCAACCTCCCATCCTGTCTGTGTAGCCCAGTGTTTCTCAGCTGGGCACCACTGACATTTTGGGCTGGCTAAGTCTCGGTTGTAGGTGCTAGGGGGGGATCCTCTGCATCGCAGGATGTTTACAGCTCTCCTGACCTCTGTAAGCCACTCCTCATTTTGAACCCCACTTTCCTCATCTGTTAAGTGAGTTCATCATTCAGACAGCAAATATCTATTGAAACTCTACTTTGTCCTAGGAGCTGTCTTAGGCATTGGGGACACCAGAGTGAACAAGAAAATGTCTCCACTTATAGTGAGTTTACACTCTGCTGGGGGTTACAAATAATAAACACACAAGGAAATGAAAAATTAATATCTTATTAGACGGAGAAAAGAGCTATGAACAACAATAAAGCAAGTTTCAGATGGAGAGTCTCAGAACCTACTCTTTTAGCCAGGAACACCAGGGAGGGCCATTCTGAGAAGGTGACATTTTAGTACTCCGAAATGGAACAAGCCATGGAACAGCTTTCTTCAGTTCCAAAGTTCCTTTTTTCTGCCTCTGTTCACATAATTGCTCAGCTTGCACTTACCGCCTTCTTTGTCACTTGTTTTGCCTGACTTCGGCCTCCCCACAAGGGGCCCAGCTTTGATTCTCTGCTCTTTCTTGACCTCTGGTCCCTTGAATTCTTTGGCTGGAGCACCTTCCCAATAGGCATTCCCAGTCTTCACTGTGATCTCCATCTAGCTGCTAGCCCTGAGTCCACAGGCCCTGTTTGCAATTATGGGGCAGCCAATGTATTTTTTGGGCCCACTGATTAATAGACTGTTAGTGATGAGAACTGTGTATAGTTTGTACACACACACACACACACACACACACACATTTTTTCTTGATGCTGTAACGTATGAATGGCAAATACTAGGAACAGTTGCCATCAGTCAATTCTCTTTCTCATAACTATGTCAGATCAGATACTCATAATTGATGATCATGACTGTCCTACCATCCAATAGTAATTGCCATGGAAGATGAAACCCTGGCTCAAAGGTGCCATGTATTGCCTTAAAAAGTAGCTTGAAATAGATATATGCTGCCAGAGCAGTTTACCAGGAATGGAGAAACTTTCCATCTGCAGTCAGAGGGCCAGGCCTCAGCTTCGCTGCCATAAGAAAATTGGAAATTTCTCTCCTACCACATATAGTTTTAATTACCAAGTTAATTACTAAGAAATTTGCACACCATTCTGTAGTAAAAACAGGAAGTCATCATAGTTTACCGATGGCTAAGTAACATGAGTAGAGCTGTTTTTCGGGAAGATCGATCTTGCAACCACATGTAGGATGAATGGCTGGGGTGTGGCAAAGAGAACACCTTAGATAAGGTGTGCAGACTTGGAGAGGGCTCCAGGGTAGGAGGTCCCAGACTGCCTCTCTCTGGTCTTGGAACAGGCAAGCTGTGGGACTGAGCAAAAGTTTTTATATTCCAAAGGACTCTGAATTTGGCTGTCTTTGCACAAGTCCAAGGCCCACAACATTGGAAGAAGCAGGGCTTCCTTGGAGACCAAATTGATCACCACACAGCATATGCAGCAGTCTGAATGGAAATGTGCCTGCTACCAGGAATTAATTACCATCTAATTTGCATAACCTGTTGATTAATTGTGCTCATGGCCAAAAGTCCAAGCCAAAGCTCCTCACCTGAGAGCTGATGATGCTTTTCCACTTGCTTTGGGAAAACACAAGTCCAAGGTTAGAAGTGCTTTACTAAGCCCAGACCACCCAAGTCAGTGCAACAAGGGAAGAGGTCAGGAAGTTTCTCACCCTCCATCCTCCATCTCCCACCCCAGGCTTCCACTCTGAGAAGATGTCCAGAATGTGGCCGACCATTGGAGTGCAAACTGTTATTTATTTATGAGGCTGACAGGACATTTCAACTAAACACCAATTTACCAAGTATTTTGGTATAAAAAGGAAATATATTTACTATAGATAATTAAAGATTCTAAAATCCAATAGCACTCCATGGAGTACACTAATTATAATCAAAACAATTTGTAATGAAGGAAAGGGAAATGAATAAGCACAAATCTGTCATATATTGGAGCCTCAGGAGTAACTTCATTGCTATTAACTGACAGACAACACTCGAAGCCAAACGTAGCAGATGTCTGCCTAGAGAAATAAGGGACTTGGAGATGCTGTGTTGGCAAGCTGGTGTCTTATCCCTCTGCTAAATTAGATTTGGGCCTTCTCCTAAAGACCTAAGGTCCTGGCCTGACTTCAGAAAAGATGACTATCAGCAAGCTGGCCCCTGGTCTACAGAGGAGTGTAACTGTCGCCTGATCTCAGATTAGTGACTATAATTTCCTCCTGTTTTCACAAGAAAGGCTTCAGTTTTAATGGGGTGAAATTCGGAAATGCCTGGGTATTTACTGGACACTAAGCTCTATGGAAAATGAAGCCACTTGGAGTACCATGATGGCCCAGGCTGGATTCACTGTGGGCCACATCCAAGCAGTCGGTCTGAACTGGAAAGAAGTTTAAAGATTTTCCTGGGGAAAGTGGCTCAGCCTAGATAACATGAGTGGTTGATGGAGGCAGATAAGAGTTTTCCCAGAACCAACTGGTCTTCCGAGGTTGGGTTACAGCATGCAGAACCCAACAATGCTGGTACATTCTCCCAGAACCAGTGTTGGACCAGGTACTAATGATTTAAGTCTCAACAGAGGCTTGAAAACGATGGGGCAAGATTGAGTTTTGTTGTAGGAGATAGTGAAACCCAGAATGTGGGAATGTTGTGGGGTGACAGAGTTAATTTTACAGCTAAGATCATGCTTGTGCCATGCTTGAACATCCTGAGATGTCACCCTCTCCATTCATTTCAGAATTACTCTGCATTGTATTACCAGCCAATGCTTCCTGCTCCTTCTCATTTATTCATGAATAAATTTCACCACAGGAGATTCCAAAGACAATATTTATTAGAAAAATTTTTATTATCAGAAGCTGATATAATAGTCACAGGGATGAGACTTAGACATGGATTCCCTGACCATGGCCCAGTGATGGGGCCTCCTTCTCTCTTTCCCACCCTGCTGTAACAGAGACAACTACTTTACCAGGACCTATGTGTTGCTGTTGGCAATGACTACATTAATAGACTGTTAGTGATGAGGAGAACACAGTATAGTTTGTGATTATGTACACACACACACACGCACACTTTTTCTTCTTGATTCTATAATGTATGAATGGCAAATACTAGGAACAGTTGCCATCAATCAATTCCCTTTCTCAAAACTGTGTCAGATCAGATATTCATAATTAATGATCATGACTGTCCTACCATCCAATAGTAATTGCCATGGAGGATGAAACCCTGCCTCAAAGGTGCCATGTATTGCCTTAAGAAGTAGCTTGAAATAGATATATGCTGCCAGAGCAGTTTACCAGGAATGGAGAAATCTCCCAACTGCAGTCAGAGGGCCAGGCCTCAGCTTCACTGCCATAAGAAAATTGGAAAATTTTCCCCTATTACACCTAGTTTTAAGTAAGTTAATTACTAAGAAACTAGCCCATCATTCTGTAGTAAAAACAGGAAGTCATCATAGTTTTTTGATGGGTAAGTAATGTTATTAGAGCTGTTTTTCAGTAAGATTGATCTTGCAACTACATGGAGGATGAATGGCTGAGGTGCGGCAGAGAGAATACCTTACATAAGGTGTGCCGACTTGGAGAGGGCTCCAGGGTAGGAGGTCCCAGACTGCCTCTCTCTGGTCTTGGACCAGGCAAGCTGTGGGACTGAGCAAAAGTTTTTATATTCCAAAGGACTCTGAATTTGGCTGTCTTTGCACAAGTCCAAGGCCCATAACATTGTGAGCTCCCCTTATCCTACACACATGGCCCACCTGTACGGGGCTTACACCTGTGCTGAGACCACACCCCTGCCTTCCCTCCACAGCTGCAGCACCAGCCAACCAGAGCAGAAGGGTCTAGGAGACCACAGCTACCCCTTTGTGCCTGGCTGATTTTAGTGAAAGATGCTTTGTGTGTTCATTGAGGCATCACTGTGTCATCTCTGCACAAAGAGGTTTCCTATGTCAGATGAACCCTTTCTTTGATGCCTTCCCCTCCCCTTTCTGACAATGCATTGACTGAGGCAAGCCATTTGAAACATCCTCCAGGGAGACAATGTGCCTTGGAGCCTGTGACCCAGTTATGGCTGGGGGTTGGGGACCCAGACCCTTGGAAGCCAGGCCACAGTGAGACCTCAGGATGGTCCCACAGCACCTCTAGGGTTCCCCTTGTACTCATCAGGCTCCTTGCTTAGACATGACTTTTGACTGCAAAACGGAGCTGGCCTATCGGCAGAGAGAGTTTGAAGCTTCTCATGGTGTTTACATTAGTTTGTCTAAACAGACCCAGAAAGAAAATTGCTTCTGTGCTTAACAAATGAGAAAAAGAAAGACAACAAAGGAGAGTTGATTCCCAAAGAATGTAAGATAGAGTCCCAGCAATGGAGCCTGAGCTTCAGCTGTTAGGAAAGCTAGCTCCATTCCTTATCACAAGAGGGTGGAGACAGCCCAGAGCCTGACTCCCCAAGACCTTTCTCTTCTCCTGTCTCCAAAATGGTCTGAGCTGACAAGGGAGAGTACGTAAAATGGTGTTCTGGCAGACAAGTTCTCTTAACTGTAAGGGGCATGTTTAGAAAATGGAAAAGAGACAATGGCTGACTCAATAGGACCTCTGCCCAGGGCCACAGTGGCACCAGCCCAAGGCTGTGTCCAGTCAACACCCCAGAAAGTTCTGTCAGACCTCTGGTGGAGAAACAAAGTGTCATGTCACACAAAAGGTGTCACTCTCTCAGGAGGCTGGAAAAATGAATGTGCAGATTTCTTGGGGGAGGCTGTGGTGTTGTTGAACTCATGCACATGGCAGAGCACAGCTGCCCAGAGAGGCTTATTCTGTGGAATTTGAGTTGAGGTGGATGCCGACTGGATAGCTCATGGCCCTCTACAGAGCTTGTGGCTGCACTCAGCCACCTCCTTCCTGGACTAACTCTCTTGCTATTGCTGCTTAGCAAATGAATCTTGGCTACAAGCGCATGTTGAGCTGGAGCCATCTTGAGTCTGCAAGGGCACTCGGGCTGCAAATTCACATTCTCTCCTACAGGCTCCTGCTCCCGCCCACTCTCCTTCCATTCCTGCTTCCCATTCCCTCTTCCCCCTGTCTTCTGTCTTCACCTTAACAGTATTCTACTCCCCTCCCCCATTTTCCCCTCCTCTTCTGAATTGACCACTTCCCTCTTTCTAGAACTTAACAAGTATTTTGGAAAGCATTTTTTTTTGTATGTGCATGCCAAGAATAAGGAGGACCGGGACCCAGGAGCAGCTCTGTCATTTAGCCAGCTGAATCACCTTGGACAAGCCACCTGGACCCCAGTCTGCCACATGGTCTATATGTTTACTTAAGCTTTTGAATGAGTAATAATATGGCACCAACAGTTAGAAGTTTTTTTTTTTTTTGACACTGTTTCGTTCTGTAGCCCAGGCTGGAGTGCAGTGGTGCGATCTCGGCTCACTGCAACCTCAGCCTCCTGGGTTCAAGCAATTCTCCTTCCTCGGCCTCCCGGGTAGCTGGGACTACAGGCGCACGCCACCATGCCTGGCTAATTGTTTGTATTTTTAGTAGAGAGGGGGTTTCACCATGTTAACCAGGATGGTGTGGATCTCCTGACCTCGTGATCGGCCCGCCTCAGCCTCCCAAAGTGCTGGGATTACAGGTGTGAGCCACCGTGCCCAGCCTAGTTAAAAGTTTTATAGTGAAAATTCTGCCTCGCATCCCCAGCCATGCAGTTCCCCTCTCTATAGGCAAACAAGATGAAAGTCATACCTGTTATAAGCAAACACACACACACACACACACACACACACACACACACACATATACTCTTAGCCTTTTTCTCCATTTTCACACAAACAGTAGCATACCATAGGCACAGCTTAGCACCTTGGGTTCTTCATCTAAGGTATCTCAGAGATCTTTCCATATCAGCACATGGAGAGCTACCTCAGTCTTCCTTACAGGTGCTTAGCATTCCATTGAACATCAGTCCTCTCCTGATGGTTACTGAAGCTGCTTCCAGTGTTGTACTCTGCTGCCGTGTTGCAGTGAATAACCTTGCTTATACATCATTGTGCCTGTGTGTGAGCAGATCTGTGGCATAAAGTCCACAAAGCAGAATTTCCAGGTCAGACAGAATGAAAGAGACAGCATAGATGAGCACATACTAATTTGATGTGCAACCTCAGAGAAGGTACTTGACATTTCTGGGCCTCATTTTCTTCTTTGTAAAGGAGAGGGGTTGCCCTGAACGACCTGCAGTTTCTTTCCACCTTGGAAGTCCCTGGGATTCAGAACCTCCCGCCTGTGAGGAGTTTGGCAAAGATCATTGGTCTGGCCCTTGTGATCTGCCCATGAACACAGTGTATCTGTGTCCAGGCCACCACAGCCAGCTGGGAGCCAAAATTTATTCTGTACACAGCCAACAGAGCAGAACTTGAAGAGCCAAGTCCAAGGGCCAGGCCTGACCTCATTTGTCCTTAAGTGGCATCTCTTCTGTTTTGACCTCTTTAAAGGTAGCTGCTTTTGCAGGCTTTGTGGAAATCAGAGGGAGCATGGAGGTATTTTGCTTCAATTTACAGAACTGAGGAAAATGAGTGAGCTAAATATACTTAAGATGAGTGGAGTGAAGCATTAGCCAGAATGCTGGAGGTACAAAGACTTAAATTAATAGGAAACTTACCAGGAGATTATTCAACAATGCAATCAACCAACCATGCAGGTTTTGTTTGTGCGTTGACTAAAAACAAGCCTGCTTGATGGTTTTGCCCTCTATGAATGTTGAGATTATGTGCTAGTAGGCTAAGTTTTAAGATAACCAGAGCCAACATAAGGACTTTCTGCATGCACTCTGATGCTCACTGTTATCATTGATCAGATTTGGGAATCATAGAATGTTTGGCTTGAAAGAGGCTGTAGGGATCACTAAAGCAAGCCTCTTGCTTGTGTACAGATTAGGAGATGGAAACCAGAAGTGGGGAAGTGCACCAGGGCTGTCGTAAGTGCAAGGGAAAGGGCCCTGTAAACAGACCCAGCTCCCAGGGTGGGTGGGGTGGCAGGACGTGCATTAAGCAGGTGGAAGAAGGCATCTAGAGGACACTGCAACAGGCGTGCACTCCCCAGTGACACAGCTGGTATGCATGAGGGGCCCAGCAGTGCATAGAAGGTGGAATTGTAAGCCTGGGAGCAGGCAGGATTCAGAAATCAGGCAAAAGCTTAAGAAACCTCTAATAAAGGGAGAAGGATTAATGAGGGCTCCAATCTTAGAAGGCCCATGTGTCTCTGGTCAGGTTGCTGAGACTCTGATATGTTTTGGCTGTGTCCTCACCCAAATCTCATCTTGAATTGTTACACTTCTTGTGTGAAGTGATACAATTCAATCACTTTAATTCAAGTGATTGAATTGTATCACTTCTTGTGATAGTGAGTTCTCATGAGATCTGATGGTTTTATAAGGGGGGCTTTTCCCCCTTTGCATGGCACTTCTCCTTCCTGCCACCATGTGCAGAAGGACATGTTTGCTTCCCTTTCTGCCATAATTGTAAGTTTCCTGAGGCCTCCCCAGCCATGCTGAACTGTGAGTCAATTAAATCTCTTTCCTCTGTAAATTACCCAGTCTTGGGTATGACTTTATTAGCAGCACGAGAACAGGCTAATACAGACACAAACACAAACACAAGGGCCGGCAGGGGCAAATATTGGATTCCAGGGCTGAGGCACGCCATGGGTACAGAGCAGAAGTGCAGCTGCCAGAATGGGGACCCAAGCAAGGGTGATCTGATTTTGAGCAGTACCTCCTTGTGTCACCCAGTCTTGGTTCTAGAGACTTGGAAGGTAAGCCTGTAAATGGAAACAGGCCAGCCAGAGAGGGGAAAAGGGAACCAGGAAGCAGGCCAGGCTCCAGTCACCAGGTGGTTCTAATTACCTCCTAGATAAATTCCCCTCAAGTCCTTCCCTCCTCCCTCTACAGCTTCACTGTTGTGCTTGTTCAGGTTCCCAGCTTCAGCTTTACCTCCTCCTGAAAGCCATCTCTCTTTCCCAAAAGAGGTCTGGTTCCTACAGTTCCTATATCCCAGGAGTTCTCAAGTCTGGCTGTGGGTCCAAATGGAGAATTTTTTTTTTTTACTTTAAGTTTTGGGATACATGTGCAGAATGTGCAGGTTTGTTACACAGGTATACGTGTGCCATGGTAGTTTGCTGCACCTATCAATTTTTCATCTAAATTTTAAGTCCCTCATGCATTAGGTGTTTGCCCTAATGCTCTCCTTCCCCTTGCCCCCCCAAGCCCCTGACAGGCCCCACTATGTGTTGTTCCCCTCCCTGTGTCCATGTGTTCTCATTGTTCAACTCCCACTTATGAGTGAGAACATGCGGTGTTTGGTTTTCTGTTCCTGTGTTAGTTTGCTGAGAATGATGGCTTCCAGCTTCATCCTTGTCCCTGCAAAGGACATGATCTCATTCTTTTTTATGACTGTGTAGTATTCCATGGTGTATATGTGCCACATATTCTTTATCCAGTCTATCATTGATGGGCATTTGGGATTTGGGTTGGTTCCAAGTTTTTGCTATTGTAAATAGTGCTGCAATAAACATATGTGTGCATGTGTCTTTATAGCAGAATGATTCATAATTCTTTGGGTATATACTCAGTAATGGGATTGCTGGGTCATATGGTATTTCTGGTTCTAGATCCTTGAGAAATCACCCCACTGTCTTCCACAATGGTTGAACTAATTTACACTCCCACCAGCAGTGTAAAAGTGTCCCTCTTTCTCCACAGCCTCACCGGCATCTGTTGTTTCCTGACTTTTTAATAATCACCATTCTGACTGACGTGAGATGGTATCTCATTGTGGTTTTGATTTGCATTGCTCTAATGACCAGTGATGATGAGCTTTTTTTCATATGTTTGTTGGCTGCATAAATGTCTTCTTTTGAGAAGTGTCTGTTTATATCCTTTGCCCATTTTTTGATGGGGTTGTTTGTTTTTTTCTAGTAAATTTGTTTAAGTTCTTTGTAGATTCTGGATATTAGATCTTTGTCAGATGGGTAGATTGCAAAGTTTTTCTCCTATTCTGTAGGTTGCCTGTTCACTCTGATGATAGTTTCTTTTGCTGTGCAGAAGCTCTTTTGTTTAGTTAGATTTCATTTGTCAATTTTGGCTTTTGTTGCAATTGCTTTTGGTGTTTTAGTCATGAAATCTGTGCCCATGCCTATGTCCTGAATGGTATTGTCTAGGTTTTCTTCTAGCGTTTTTATGATTTCAGGCTTTACATTTAAGTCTTTAATCCATCTTGAGTTAATTTTTGGATAGGGTGTAAGGAAGGGGTCCAGTTTCAGTTTTCTACATATGACTAGCCAGTTTTCCCAAAACCATTTATTAAACAGGAAATCCTTTCCCCATTCTTGTTTTTGTCAGGTCTGTCAAAGATCAGATGGTATAGATGTGTGGTGTTATTTCTGAGGCCTCTGTTCAGTTCCATTGGTCTATATATCTGTTTTGGTACCAGTACCATGCTGTTTTGGTTACTGTAGCCTTGTAGCATAATTTGAAGTCAGGTAACATGATGCCTCCAGCTTTGTTCTTTTTGCTTAGGATGGTCTTGGCTATATGAGCTCTTTTTTTGTTCCATATGAAATTTAAAGTAGTTTTTTTTAATTCTGTGAAGAAAGTCAATGGTAGCTTGATGGGATTCCCAATGGTGGGAATAGCATTGAATCTATAAATTACTTTGGGCAATATGGCCATTTTCATTGATTCTTCCTATCCAGGAGCATGGAATGTTTTTCCATTTGTTTGTGTCCTCTCTTATTTCCTTGAGCAGTGCTTTGTAGTTCTCCTTGAAGAGGTCCTTCACATCTTTTGTAAGTTGTATTCTTAGATATTTTATTCTCTTTGTAGCAATTGTGAATGGGAGTTCATTCATGATTTAGTTATCTTCTTGTCTACTGTTGGTGTATAGGAATTCTTATAATTTTTACACATTGATTTTGTATCTTGAGACTTTGCTGAAGTTGCTTATCAGCTTAAAGAGTTTTTGGGCTGAGACGATGGGGTTTTCTAAATATACAATCATGTCATCTGCAAACAGAGATGATTTGACTTCCTCTCTTCCTATTTCAATATGCACTGTTTCTTTCTATTGCCTGATTGCCCTGGTCGGAACTTCCAATACTATGTTGAACAGGAGTGGTGAGAGACACCACTCTTGTCTTGCACTGGTTTTCAAAGGGAATACTTCCAGTTTTTGCCCATCCAGTATAATATTGGCTATGGGTTTGTCATAAATATCTCTTATTATTTTGAGATACGTTCCATCAATACCTAGTTTACTGAGAGTTTTTAGCATGAAGGGATGTTGAATTTTATCAAAGGCCTTTTCTGCATCTATTGAGATAATCATGTGGTTTTTGTCATTGGTTCTGTTTATGTGATGGATTACATTTATTAATTTGCATATGTTGAAACAGCCCCGCATCCCAGGGATGAAGCCAACTTGATCATGGTGGATAAGCTTTTTAATGTACTACTGGATTCGGTTTGCCAGTATTTTATTGAGGATTTTCACATCAATGTTCACCAGGGATATTGGCCTGAAATTTTCTTTTTTTGTTGTGTCTGTGCCAGGCTTTGGTATCAGGATGATGCTGGCCTCATAAAATGAGTTAGGGAGGAGTCCCTCTTTTTCTATTGTTTTGAATAGTTTCAGAAGGAATGGTACAAACTCTTCTTTGTACCTCTGATAGAATTTGGCTGTGAATCCATCTGGTTCAGGGCTTTTTTTGGTTGGTAGGCTATTAATTAATGCCTCAATTTCAGAACTTGTTATTGGTGTATTCAGGAATTCGACTTCTTCCTGGTTTAGTCTTTGGAGGGTGTATGTATTCAGGAATTTATCCATGTCTTCTATATTTTCTAGTTTATTTGCACAGAGGTGTTTATAGTATTCTCTGATGATACTTTGTATTTCTGTGGGAAGAGTGATGATATCCCCTTTATCATTTTTTATTGCATCTACTTGATTCTTCTCTCTTTTCTTCTTTATTAGTCTGGCTAGCAGTCTATCTCTTTTGTTAATCATTTCAAAAAACCAGTTCCTGGATTCATTGATTTTTTGAAGGGTTTTTCGTGTCTCTATGTTCTTCAGTTCTGCTCTGATCTTAGTTATTTCTTGTCTTCTGTTAGCTTTTGAATTTGTTTGCTCTTGCTTCTCTAGTTCTTTTAATTGTGATGTTAGGGTGTAGATTTTAGATCTTTCCCACTTTCTCATGTGGGCATTTAGTGCTGTATATTTCCCTCTTAATGCTGCTTCAGCTGTGTCCCAGAGATTCTGGTACGTTATCTCTGTGTTCTCATTGGCTTCAAAGAACTTCTTGATTTCCTCCTTAATTTCGTTATTTACTTGGGAATCATTCAGGAGCAGGTTATTCACTTTCCATGTAGTTGTGCAGTTTTGAGGGAGTTTCTTAATCCTGAGTTCTAATTTGATTGCACTGTGGTCTGAGGGATGATTTGTTATGATTTCCATTCCTTTGCATTTGCTGGGAAGTGTTTTACTTCCAATTATGTGGATAATTTTGGAATAAGTGCTATGTGGCACTGAGAAGAATGTATATTCTGTTAATTTGGGGTGGAGACTTCTGCAGATCTTTATTAGGTCCACTTGGTCCAGAGCTGAGTTCAAGTCCTGAATATCCTTGTTGATTTTCTGTCTCATTGGTCTTTCTAATATTGACAGTGGGGTGTTAAAGTCTTCCACTATTATTGTGTGGGAGTCTAAGTCTCTTTGTAGGTCTCTAAGAACTTGTTTTATGAATCTGGGTGCTCCTATATTGGGTGCATATATATTTAGGATAGTTAGCTCTTCTCGTTGAATTGATCCCTTTACCACTATGTAATGCCCTTGTTTTGTCTTTTTTGATCTTTGTTGGTTTAATGCCTGTTTTATCAGAGACTAGGATTGCAACTTGCTTTTTTTCCCTCTTCATTTGCTTGGCAAATATTTCTCCATCCCTTTATTTTGAGCCTATGTATGTCTTTGCATGTGAGATGGGTATCCTGAATACAGCATATGGATGGGTCTTGACTCTTTATCTAATTTGCCAGTCTGTGTCTTTTAATTGGGGCATTTAGCCCATATACATTTAAGGTTGATATTATTATGTGTAAATTTGATCCTGCCATTATGATGCTAGCTGGTTATTTTGCCCATTATTTGGTGCAGTTTCTTCATAATGTCATTGGTCTTTATATTTTGGTGTGCTTTTTGCAGTGGCCAGTACCAGCTTTTCCTTTCCATATTGAGCGCTTCCTTTAGTAGCTCTTGTAAGGCCGGCCTGGTGGTGACAAAATCCCTCAGCGTTTGCTTGTCTGTAAAGGACTTTATTTCTCCTTCACTTATGAAGCTTCATTTGGCTGGATATGAAATTCTGTGTTGAAAATTCTTTTCTTTAAGAACGTTGAATATTGGCCCCCACTCTCTTCTGGCTTGTAGGGTTTCTGCAGAGCAATCCACTGTTATTCTGATGGGCTTCTCTTTGAAGGTAACCTGACCTTTTTCTCTGGCTGCCTTTAACAGTTTTTCCTTCATTTCAACCTTGGAGACTCTGATGATTATGTGTCTTGGTGTTGATCTTCTTATGGAGTATCTTAGTAGTGTTCTCTGTATTTCCTGAATTTGAATGTTGGCCTCTCTTGCTAGGCTGGGGAAGTTATGCTGAATAATATCCTGAGGTGTGTTTTCCAACTTGGTTCCATTCTCCTTGTCACTTTCAGGTATGCCAATCAGTCATAGGTTTGGTCTTTTCACATAGTCCCATACTTCGTGGAGGCTTTGCTCATTCCTTTTCATTCTTTTTTCTCTACTCTCATCTGCATGCCTTATTTCAAGAAGATGGTCTTCAATCTCTGATGTCCTTTTTTCCACTTGATCAATTTGGCTATTGATACTTGGGTATGCTTCACGGAGTTCTTGTACTATGTTTTTCAGCTCCATCAGGTCATTTATGTTCCTCTCTAAACTGGTTATTCTAGTTAGCCATTTCTGTAACCTTTTATCAAATTTCTTAACTTCCGTGCGTTGGGTTAGAACATGCTCCTTTAGCTAAGAGGAGTTTGTCATTACCTACCTTCTGAAGCCTACTTCTGTCAATTTCTCAATCTAATTCTCCAACCAGTTTTGTGCCCTCGCTGGAGAGGAGTTGCAATCATTTGGAGAAGAAGAGGCATTCTGGCTTTTCGAATTTTCAGAATTTTGCACTGGTCTTTCCTCATCTTCCTGGATTTATCTACCTTTGATCTTTGAGGCTGATTACCTTTGAATAGGGTTTTTGTGTGCGGGTCTTTTTTGTTGTTTTTGTTGTTGCTTTCTCTTTGTTATTTTTTCTTCTAACAGTCAGGCCCCTCTTCTGCAGGTCTGCTGCAGTTTGCTGGAGGTCCACTCCAGACACTCTTCCCCTGGGTATCATCAGTGGAGGCTGCAAAACAGCAATGATTGCTGCCTGCTTATTTCTCTGAAAGCTTCATCCCAGAGGGGCACCTGCCAGATGCCAGTTGGAGCTCTCCTGTATGAGGTGTCTGTCGACCCCTGTTGGGAGGTCTCTCCCAGTCAGGAGGCACGGAGGCCAGGGACCCACTTGAGGAGGCAGTTTGTCCCTTAGCAGAGCTGGTGTGCTGTGCTGGGAGAATCTCCCTTGTCAGGATCAGCTGCTCACTTGAGAGCCAGCAGGCAGGAAAGATTAAATCTGCTGAAGCAGGGCCCACAGCCGCCCCTCCCACCAGGTGCTCTGTCCCAGGTAGATGAGAGTTTTATCTGTAAGCCCCTGACTGGGGCTGCTGCATTTCCTGTAGAGATGCCCTGCCCGGTGACAGGAATCTAGAGAAGCAGTCTGGCCACAGCCACTTTGCCATGCTGTGGTGAATTCTGCCCAGTCCAAACCTCCCAGTCTCCTTCGCACTGTCGGGGGAAAACTGCCTACTAAAGCCTCAGTGATGGTGGATACCCCTCTGCTCACCAAGCTCCATCATCCCAGGTCAACTCCAGACTTCTACGCTGGCAGTGAGAATTTCAAGCCAGTGGTTCTTGGTTTGCTGGGCTTTGTGGGAGTGGGACCTGCTGAGTGAGACCACTTGGCTCCCTAACTTCATTCAGGCCCCTTTCCAGGGGAGTGGACGGTTCTCCTGTCCCATTGGGGTTCCAGGTGCCACTGGGATATGAAAAATCTCCTGCAGCTAGCTCAGTGCCTGCCTAAACAGCCACCCAGTTTTGTGCTTGAAACTCAGGGTTCTGGTGGTGTAGGCTCACAAAGGAATCTATTGATCTGTGGATTGCGAAGATCTGTGGGAAAAGCATAGTACCCGGGGCGGGTAGCACTGTCCCTCATGGCTTCCCTTGGCTGGGGGAGGCAGGTCCCCTGCCACCTTGCACTTCCCAGGTAAAGCCATGCCCCGCCCTGCTTCTGCTTGCTCTCTGTGGGTTGCATCCACTGCCTAACCAGTTCCGTGAGATGAACTGGTACCTCATTTGGAAATACAGAAATCACCTGCCTTCTGCATTGGTCTCGCTGGGAGCTGCAGACCAGAGCTGTTCCCATTCGGCTATCTTGGCCCTTACCCAAATGGAGAATTTTTTAAACTAGTGATGCCAAGGCCCCACTCCAGACTGATTAAATCAGCAGGTCTGTCCTATGCATGCTGATGTATTTGGCTGAGGTCATAATGTCTGCATCTTATTTTCCAAAGCATTTTGTGTGTATTTATATTTCTCTATCTATCTATCTAAATGTTACTATGTATATATATATGTGTATTGTACTGTTATTCCACATTTTCTGTATGTTTGACATTTTTCAAAATAAAGATTGAGAAAAAATGATGAGTATCTCCAGGATTGGCTGGGTCATCTGTCTTCACAAAGTTTCTGTGTGGTGCTCCTGTCCAGAGCTGGCGAGATTGAGGGCACTTAACGTTTGACACACTGCTTTGACTCTGACTCCCCTAGGAGACTGTCCTACCCTGAGGACAGGGGCCTCGTGTGCCTCAGAACTTTGCATTCCCCTATCCCCCAGCCCTAGAATGTGCCTGGCATATAGTGGGCATTGAATACATATTTGATGAGCCTAACCAAAAGGAAGTTACATTCAGGGCAGA
The DNA here is from genome assembly GCF_000001405.40 of Homo sapiens. Lineage (NCBI taxonomy): Eukaryota > Metazoa > Chordata > Mammalia > Primates > Hominidae > Homo > Homo sapiens. The sequence continues at coordinate 170,652,146 of NC_000003.12, forward strand.
TAGGTGAATATGTATTTATTATTCTTTCAATCAATCAATCAATCAATCAATCAATCTTTCGTCACTTATGGAGTGCCTATTGTTTCATGCATGTTTTAGGCACAATGGATCATCTAATGATCTAATGAAGGACAGGGTTTCTCACTCTTGGAAGTATGGAGATTTTGGCCCAGATAATTCTTTGTTGTAGGGGGCTGTCCTGCGCTTTGTAGGATGCTTAGCAGCATTTTTTATCTTTACTCACTAGATGATAGTAGCAACATACCTCCAACCTCACAAGTTGTGTTAATCAAAACTTTCTCCAGACATTACCAAATGTCCTCTGGGAGCAAAATTTTAACCTCCAGTTAAAAAGCACTGATCTGTAAGACAGCCTGCCTTTAAAAAATCTGAACAGTAATGAAGGAAATGGATATATATACACGTGTGTGTGTGTGTGTGTGTGTGTGTGTGTGTGTGTGTGTGTGTGCAATGAAAGATAAGATGTGTGAAGGACTGTAATGTATCAGAATGTTATGAAGCATAAGAAGAGAAAAAGTTAATTTCATTTGGGGGCATTTGGGAAGACATTATTGTAAGCACTGGGTTTGGGTTTTAGTAGCTTTGTGGATGGGAAGCTCTTTCAATGTAATTTCCTTTCCTAAGCTTCTGCCAGCTTACATCTACACAGCCTGCGGTCACCCTTGTCGTCTTCTGAACCTTGTTTCTTAGACGAAGAAACTGAATCCAAGCGAGTTTGGATTACTTGAGGTAAGAGGTGGTTTACAACACAGACCTTGGAACCAGACTGCCTGGCTTTGAATCCTAACTCTACCAATTTCCAGTCGTGAGCTTAGGGCTTGTGATTTAACCTCTTAACACCTCAGTGTCCACATACAGAAAATGGAGCTAATAATAGCTTCTATCATCTCATAGAGTTTTAGTGAGAAATTTACATGTGTCAAATGTTTAGAACAGCACCTGGCCTCCATATATACATAAAAAACTATGGAAGTGTTTGCTACTATCACTATTGTTACCAAAGCCATCCAGCAACTTGGTGGCTGAGGTGAAGTGATCAATTGGATCTGCAGTCTCCTGGCCCAGGGTTTTCTCCACTGCAAAGTCTTTTTGCTGGCACCACTGGGAAAGGCAGACCCCATGAGCACCATTCTCTGTTTAAACTTCACCATCCAATAGAAATATCAAGCAAGCCCCATGTGTAGATTTTCTAGTAGCCACATAAAAAAAGAAAAATGGATGAAATTAATTTTAGTAATACATTTTATTTTAGCCAATATATGAAAATATTAGTATTTCAATACGTAATCAATAAAAATTGTTAATGAGATATTTACATTTTTTTTTCCATACTAAGTCTTGGAATCCAGAGTGTACACATACAGCATATCTCAAGGAGCCACTTTTCAAGTGCTCAATAGGCGCATGTGGCTTGTGGCTGTCATATTGGAGAGTACAGATTTTCTAAACACTGCAAGGGCTTTCAAGGTGGCCGGACATTCATATTATTTCTGACTATGCCTAGGGGATGACAAATCAGCGCAAATAGTAAAAGTCTTCTTGAGTTTTTTGCAGGACACTGCATCCCCTTCCCCTTCCCCTTCCCTTTCCCCTTTCCCCTTTCCCCTTTCTCCCTTCTCCTCCTTCTTCTTCTTCCTTTTGTGAGAAAGCCAGCCGACTATTGCTCGGGGGCAGGCAACTCACAAGCTCTTTGTGGGGCTGGTCAGCTTCCTCTTCACCATCACAGACGTCTGGCTGCGCAGGATGGCGCTGGCCTTGCTGATGGCAGCCATGGCAGGTCAGGGCGGTACTTGTTCTTGCGGATCATGTATCTGATGCTGCTGAGTTTGGCTCCAGCGTTCTTGTTGATGATGGTCCGCACGTAGGAGATGGCAGGCGTCCGCTGGCCGGATCTCCGCTTCGTGACCACCAGGACACCTCTGCCATGGGCTGCCGGCTCCACGCCCACAGTCTTGCAGTGAATCAGCCGGTTGTAGCGGGAAGGAGTTGCGGGCCTTCAAGTTATTGGGCTCGGTGCTGTAGGTGTGTTTATTCCTCTTGATCAGGAAACTGGAGCAGTTCCGCATGATCACCGATTGCAGATGCGCAGACATGGCGGCAGCTCCTCTCACAGCGAACGCCGGAGACGGAAGGAGCTGGATACTCTTCTTGCTTGTTCCTATCCCAACTTCATCAAAATAAGGCGACTATTTTTTTTTTAAATGGTAGGAGTTCATTCATTAGCCTTTCCAACCTTGATTTAACTTAAGTACAGCTTTCAGTAAATCATGACACAACAGCTCCAGATGCCACCCAAGATGTTCAGAGGCGCATATGTAACCTCTGTGAGCCCGGAGCTCCTGCTTACCCTGCCAGATGAAGCCTTGCCACCTCTTTCCATGGCTAGCCTGGAATCTCCTGCCTTGACTCTTCTGTGGTGACCTCAGATTGCCTCCTAGGACCTCCTGAGTGGGCCAGCATCATCTGCTCCTCTTCCACCCCAGGAATGGGGAAGGGGATGGAGGCTGAGAACAATTGGCGACCTGTCTGAGGCCAGGCAGAAATTTGTCACCACTGATGGAACACAAGCTGGCAGGCCCTGGGTGGCCTCTTTAAAATGTTCTGCAGTGCAAGCATTGCACACTCCTGGCAATTTTGTAAGGGCAGTGTCCAGGACAATAGCAAAGAAATTCTTACCTTGCTTACTGTGAGTCACATGCTGTTCTTAGTGCTTTACTTTACTGACAAAATCCTCGCCGCAGCCCACTGAGGCTGCTGGTCTTATTAACCCCATTTTACAGATGAGGAAATTGAGATCTGGAGAAGTAAATGGCCTGCGTAATGTCACACAGATGTAAGAGGCAAAGAGGAGTCAAACCCAGAGTCTGAGTGCCTCGTTGTGCCACAGTGAACCCTTCAGACTTGGGTTGGGCCACCAGCCTTTGCTTCTCAGTGAGAAATGTAGGTTCCAGGAAGATAGGGTTTCTGTGATTTTGTTCCCTGCTCCGTCCTCACCACCTAGAACCTATTGGTTGACTGGCTGCCACCTCCTTGCTGCTGGTGGTGTCCAATCTTAGCTCTAGACCACAACTCAGGCCGATGGTTGTTCCACTGGGCGCTTGTCATCCTGCATATGATCTGACTTTGACTTCATGCCTTGCCTACTGCTTGCACTTGATTTTTGGCCTCTATGTAAGTGACCAGAGACCTGCCCCAAGGCCAGAGAGGCGTTCAGTTGCTTGAGGCAACTCAGGCTCAAAGCAGATCTGATCTTGGCATAAGCACATTGAGTCTTATTTCCCTACCCTCTGAATGATGAGGCTGGATCAGGTGAGGCTGGAGTATCAGTGTTTCCACCCCTTCGCTCCTGGAAGGTTGGGATTGGGGGGTGGAAGAGTGGGGATATGGTACAGGCTGATGGTACAAGGATTTCTGTGTGCAAGAAAATGTGCTCCATGCCAGTCTTTATGGGTGGTTACAGGGAGGAGTGCCTGGCACCAGCTACCCATCCGAAGACATTTACAGTCTAGCCTGGATGTAGCAGGTTCCCAGTTGCCCTCCTCCTCCCACCTCTGGCTCTAGCCCAGGCCAGCCTGACTCCAGGTTCCACACTGTTTCCACACTGGCTGTTGGTGCAGGTCCACCTGAGGAGAAATCACCTTGGCTCCCTTTCTACTCCCCTAATATCTTGTTTTCTGCATCTGAAGACCTCCTGATCTTTCTTCATCTGAATAACCACAAAGGGCCCCTTGAATGGTGGAGAGTGTCAAAAGGTGCAGCCTCAGGAGGGCCCTGGAGAGCACAGGGGCCCGTGTTGTCTGAGAACCTGCAGTCTGGCTGTTCCACTTCTCCCCCTGTGCAGGCTCAGGCTTCCATCTCAGGATGTGCACAGGCCCCAAGTCTGGGGCCCTCACTCTCTGTATACTGCCTTCAGTGGGAATAAGGGATCCCAGGAGAGGAGGTCTGGAACTTTGTCGGGGGAAGCTGGAGAGCTGGGTTGGGTGGGACACAGGGCCAGCTAAACCCAAGTCCATGGGCGGGTTTCTTCCCTGAACCTGTTATCCTTTGATTCTCATATGAGGATGTTCCCATGATACCACAGGGCACTGACCAATTCTTTCTCTTATGCACATACATGTGTGCATGTGCCCAGATATACATGCATACGTGTGTGTGTGTCTTCAAAAAGGGCATGAGGGCAAACCTCTCACAGGATTTAATGTCATGCTTCCAAATGTGCTCAAGCAAAGTCATCTATCTGGAAACTCTATTTCTCCCAGAGGCTGTTATTCTTTAACTCCCTCAAAATAGGGGTCAGTGACTCTAAATGCAGAGTGACAGTTAACCAACTGTGTAACACCAGCCTTAAGGTTCAAAGGCCTTAATGGAAAAGCCAGCTTTTACCCCAAGCATTAGCAGACCAGATGTGGTTTGCAGAACTTTCTGGAGCTTTAAACAGTTGGAGGCTATCTGTCCCTTCCGGGGGCACCCTGCTCAGTCAGGATACAGACTTCAGACAGGGAGCCTCCCTCACCACAGCCTGATGGCTCATCTTCCAAAGGGCTTCCGTGCTTTCATTCTTTGCTAACAAACACAACTGAAATCAGGAGATCTGGATGCATCCTGGACAAGGGAGACACAACACAAATCCCTCTAACAGATTATGGACATGGTGAGCTAGACATGGAGACAGGCCCAGAGCACAGAGAGAGCTGGGATGAAGAATGCCTACCACAACCCAGGGGAGGCCTGGGTTTCAGGAACAGGTAACCCCAGGGCCGAGCCTTGAGGGGTAAGTAGGAGTTAACTAGAGAATCCCTAGCAGAAAAGACAGCCAAGTGTGCAGGTGTGGTCAGCATTGCTGGAGGGTCAGCTAGGACACCCTTGGCAGAGACAAGTTGCAGCCCCCAGGTAGCCATCATGGAAAGCTTTGTGTGCTGTGGCAGGGAGCTTGAACTTCATCCTGAAGGCAGTGAAGCTCCAGGAGAGCATTGTAACTAAGGCAGTAACACAGACAAACAATAGTAATAGCCAACATTTGTGAAATGAATACCTTTTAGATGTCAGGCATTGTTCTAAGTGCTTTGCATGTATTGGTTAACTTATTTAATCCTTTGCAGCAGCCCTATAGAACAATACTGATATTATTCCCATGTGACAGCTGAGGAAACTGAGGCATGGAGTGTGCACACAGTCATCTAGCTCCTAAGTTGTGGAGCTGGTATTTGAACCTAGGAAGTTTGATTCTTGAGCTCATTCTTTCAGTCACTCTGCTGTTATTTATAATTTTGTAGCCATCTCTGTTCAAAAGGGATTTTAGGTGATTTATAATATAACCTGGTGCACAGTAAGCAAACTAAAAATAAAGTTCAAAGTGAAAGAGAGAACAGAAACAGAAAAGCAAGCAGACATTTATGGCAAGAATTCAAGATGGGAAATCACTGAACTTGAGCCCTAATTTTTATCGATTTTTTTTTAAAAAAAGTGTGAAATTGTCAAGTTACAATCTTATTGCTCTTTGTGTGTTTATCAGGAGACACATGCTGCTTCCGTATACTGAATTCTATAAGGAAATTTGTTGTTTACTCCCTGATATGAACTGTGATGTAATGCATAAGATGCATTAGCTTTCTAGGGCTACTATAACAATTGACAGAAAAATTGGTGTTTTAAAACAACAGAAATTTACTTTTTTTCACATTTCTGGAGGCCAGAGGTCCAAAATCAAGGTGCTGTCAGGGTTGGTTCCTTCTGGAGGCTGTAGGGGAGACTCCATTCCATGCCTCTCTCTCAGTTCCTGGTGGTTGCAGGCAATCTTTGGCATTCCCTGGGTTGCATTACTTCAATCTCAGCCTTCATCTTCATATGTGTCTTTGTGTCTCAAAACTCCCTCTCCTTCCTCTTATAAGGACATCAGTCATTGGATCAAGGCCCCAGCCTAAATCTGTGTCTTTGTGTCTCAAAACTCCCTCTCCTTCCTCTTATAAGAACATCAGTCATTGGATCAAGGCCCCAGCCTAAATCCAAGATGATCTCATCTTGAGATCTTTAGTTTAATTCCATTTGCAAAGACCTCATTTCCAGTAAATAAGGTCACATTCATAGTTACCAGGGGTTAGGACTTGGATGTAACATTTTTGGATGCCACTATTCAACACACTCTAGAAGGCATTTAATAGCAATTCTGCAAAAAATAATTAGAAGGGGTTCTTTTACGGCTGTTTCTCACAGTGATAAAGCCAAGGGTAGAGTTTTGCTTTGATTGCAATTTAACTCACTTGAGATGGGTAGTTCCATCTTGTTTGGAGGGGTTTGCCTGTCCTCCAGAAAGGGCTCCTGAATTGAATGTCTTGTCAGCTATGTATCTTTGGTGGACAGAACTTCACTTGGAGTCAGGTGATTCACAGGACTCCTGGTATGAAGCGGAGTTTTTGTCTTGGACCCATTGATGGGAGGCTGCCTAATCTAGTACAGAAGTCCCTAACTTGGGCACAAGTGAGAATCACCAGGGGAGATTTTGCAAAAACACATGCCACAGTTGCACGCAAGGCAAATGAAGATGACTCTCTGACCTCTATTGTCCCTTCCCCTGTATTGACTTTCTAATGGGAATCTCCATTTGTGATGGGGTGGTTGGGATCACCCGTTCCAGGCTGTTGCTGGTTTCCTTTCAGTCCAGTGGCATGGGGAAGGGGAGAGGGGGTACATGATCTGTTAAAGTAAGAGTGGCCTTGAGATTCTATTTGGATTTGCTTTCATGGCTCCTTTCCAAAAAAGAACACATTTGTTCCTCTCTGAACTTTAATATCCTCATCTGTAAAGTAGGGTAAGCCAATTCATTTATTATTTTTTGAGACAGGGTCTCGCTCTTTTGCCCAGGCTGGAGTGCAGTGGTGCTATCTTCACTCACTGCAGCCTTGACCTCCTGGGCTCAAGAGATTCTCTCACCTCAGCTTCCTGAGTAGCAGGGACTACAGGCATGCACTACCATACCAGGCTAATTTTTGTAGAGACGGGGTTTTGCCATGTTGCCCAGGCTGATCTTGAACTCCTGAGCTCAAGTGAGCCACCTGCCTCAGTCTCTCAAAGTGCTGGGATTACAGGCATGAGCCACTGTGCCCAGCCTGAGCAAGGCAATTTAACTCATAGAATTGTTATAAAGATTAAATGACACATCATATGTAAAATACTCCACACAGCATCTGACAGATGTGGAGGAAGAGAGAACTGTACTAAGGGCATTGTTGTTTGTTCCAGGTCATTGGTGTGCCAGGGATTTCTGGTAATGATCACTCTTCAGTGGAGGAGAACAAGAAATAAACAATCACTGTGGCTCCTCTCTCCAGAACTTATGGAGAAAAGCCCCGACCACCTGGCCTTCTCTTCGCTTCTTGACAAAGTTACTGATTTCACCTTTGTTCTTCAGTGATCGCTGTTCTCCAGGAGAAAAAGCTATTTGTTTAATGAGACTCCTATGTCCTGCTGGAAAAGTGAATATTGAGAAGGGGGGCCTTAGGAAGCTCTGGTGAAAACCCAGGGCTTCTAATTAAGCCAGGTCTTCTGCTCACCCAAAGACCCAGCCTGGACTTCAGAACAAATCACCTGAAGCCTGCATATTTCAATAATTTAATAGGACAGATTTCCCAGGCGTGTTTTGAGGGCAGGAGGTCATTTTCAAGTAAGAATTTTCCCAGAAGTAACAAGCATATCTTTACACTGGGCCTTTCTTAGTTGAAGTTCATTATGGAAACAGCAATTCTTCTAAAATATTATCTACCCAAGGACTGGCATGCAAAGTCTTCCAGGATCTAGTCCCGGCCTACCTTCCAGATGAAACCATTGTCTACTGAACCTTCTATGCTCTAGCCATGTGTATTAGTCTCCTTGGGCTGCCATAACAAAATACATAGACTGGGTGGCTTAAGCAACAGAAGTTTATTTTCTCACAGTTCCGGATGCTAAAAGCCCGAGATGAAAGTGCCAGTTTTTTGTGAGGGCTCCGTTTTTCGCTTGTAGGCAGCCACACTGTGTCCTCACATGGCCTCTCCTTTATTACAGCTCTCTGGTGTCTCTTCTCATTTGGACAATAATCCCATTAAATCAGGGCCCCACCTTTATGACCTCATTTAGTCTTAATTACTTCCTTCCTTACTCTTATTACAGCCACAAATGGAGGAGTTAGTTTTTCAACATATGAATACTTGGGAGGACACAACATTCAGTCCATAACACCAAGCTGCGGATCCTCACACAGGACTTGGGCTCTTCTACTGCCAGGGCTTGGCTCCACCCATTTCCTTGACCTGGAATGGCTTTTGCCCGGTGAATTCGTATTCCAACTCTCTCTGCTACAGATGCCATCTCCTCCACAAAGTGTTCTCCATCTCCTTCCCCATTCCTCCCCCAGTTGGAAGCGAAAGTTCTCCTGGCTTTTTTCAGGTTTACATAGGATTTCTTTTCTCTATTTCTCTCCTTGTATTCTTGTCCTGGCCCACTATCTAGGCTGTGGCTTTCACTTCTGGCTGTGCAGAGTTATTTTAGAGATTTTAAAAGTTCCAATGCTAAGCCCAATTCCAGACCTCCTGAAGAAGAATCTCTGATGATGGGGCCCAGGATCACATGTCTTAAGGATGGGACCGTATTAATATGTGGCAATGAGGGAGTGAAAGCAACTGCACTAGCAGCAAACTCTGTGGGAATGTCATCCTTGCAGAGACAACATGGTGCCTTTCTGTGCTTGGTATTATTTCTTAGCTCTTTGCTGACATCTTCTTTAGTGGTACATTTCCTAGACCACCTGTCCACCAGGGTTCTGGGTGCAAGTTTGGCTCTGCCAATGAGATGCACTGTGTGCTCATCTCAATTTTGTGGACCCTGGGGGACAGCAGACAAACTTAGCAATAGGTCATCAAAGAGAAAGAAGAAATCCTATTTATTGAACTCCAGTGAAGTGCTGGAAGTTGTGCTAGATGCTTTACAATACTTTATTTTGTTGGGGTGGTAAAATATACATAACATAAAATTCACCATTTTAACAACTCTAAATTGTACAATTAAGTGGCATTTAGGACGTTGACAATGTCGTACATTTATTACCACTATCTAGTTCAAAAACATTTGCTTCATCTCAAAAGCAAATCCGGTTCCTATTAAGAAGTCACTTCCCTCTACTCCGAGCCCCTGGCAGCCACTAATCTGCTTTCTGTCTTGATGGATTTGCCTATTCTTGTCATTTTATATAAATAGTGATATACACTATGTAGTATTTTATGTCTGGCTTCTCTCACTTAACATATTGTTTTCAAGGTTCACCCATGTTGTAGCATGAGCCGGCACTTCATTCCTTTTTATAATGAAATAATATTCCATTTTATGGATACACCACATTTTGTTAATTCATTTACTGGTTGATAGACATTTGGGTTGTTTCCACCTATTGGCTATTGTGAATGGTGCTGCTATGAGTATTTATGTGTAAGTTTTTGTTTGAATATCTTTTTCTCAATTCTTTTTTTTACATACTTTTAAAAGCAGATCTTATTTGACAAATAAAGAAATTACATCTTGCTGATGAATGGATGAAGAAAATGTGTTACATATACACCATGGAATACTACTCAGTTATAAAAAGAAATGAAATAATGTCTCTTGCAGCAACTTGGATGGAGCTAGAGGCCATTATTGTAAGTGAAGCAACTCAGGAATGGAAAAGCAAATATTGTATGTTCTCACTCATAAGTGAGAGCTAAGCTATGAGGACACAAAGGCATAAGAGTGATATAATGGACTTTGGGGACTCAGGAAGGGAGGCTTGGAGGGGGTTGAGGGATAAAAGACTACATATTGGGTATAGTGTACACTGCTTGGGTGACAGGTGCACTAATATCTCAGACACAGACATCACCACTAAAAAATCTTATCCCCATAACCAAAAACCACCTGTACCCCAAAAAGTATTGAAATAAATAAAAGAAATTAGGTCTTGGAGATATTGTTTAAGTTATATAGCTGCTATGTGACAGAGCTGGAATATGAATGAAGGTTTCTGACTCCAGATTCTGGGCTCTCTCCACCACACTATAAGCTGCTTTTGTGAAGTCAGACCTCAGTTGTCTCCTATGGTAACTTTGAAATTATGTTTTCTTATTTTCTGTTCTCAACATTGGAGAACTCCTTTTTGGCATCCAAGACATTTTGTGTTTGACATGAGCTTGTTCTCTCTTTGACTTTCTTTCTTTCTTTTTTTTTAATTTTATTATTATACTTTAAGTTTTAGGGTACATGTGCACAATGTGCAGGTTTGTTACATATGTATACATGTGCCATGTTGGTGTGCTACACCCATTAACTCGTCATTTAGCATTAGGTATATCTCCTAATGCTATCCCTCCCCCCTCCCCCCACCCCACAACAGTCCCCAGAGTGTGATGTTCCCCTTCCTGTGTCCATGTGTTCTCATTGTTCAATTCCCACCTATGAGTGAGAACGTGTGGTGTTTGGTTTTTTGTCCTTGCGATAGTTTGCTGAGAATGATGGTTTCCAGTTTCATCCATGTCCCTACAAAGGACATGAACTCATCATTTTTTATGGCTGCATAGTATTCCATGGTGTATATGTGCCACATTTTCTTAATCCAGTCTATCGTTGTTGGACATTTGGGTTGGTTCCAAGTCTTTGCTATTGTGAATAGTGCCACAATAAACATACGTGTGCATACGTCTTTATGGCAGCATGATTTATAGTCCTTTGGGTATATACCCAGTAATGGGATGGCTGGGTCAAATGGTATTTCTAGTTCTAGATCCCTGAGGAATCACCACACTGACTTCCACAATGGTTGAACTAGTTTACAGTCCCACCAACAGTGTAAAAGTGTTCCTACTTCTCCACATCCTCTCCAGCACCTGTTGTTTCCTGACTTTTTAATGATCGCCATTCTAACTGGTGTGAGATGGTATCTCATTGTGGTTTTGATTTGTGTTTCTCTGATGGCCAGTGATGCTGAGCATTTTTTCATGTGTTTTTTGGCTGCATAAATGTCTTCTTTTGAGAAGTGTCTGTTCATGTCCTTCGCCCACTTTTTGATGGGGTTGTTTGAGTTCATTGTAGATTCTGGATATTAGCCCTTTGTCAGATGAGTAGGTTGCGAAAATTTTCTCCCATTTTGTAGGTTGCCTGTTCACTCTGATGGTAGTTTCTTTTGCTGTGCAGAAGCTCTTTAGTTTAATTAGATCCCATTTGTCAATTTTGGCTTTTGTTGCCATTGCTTTTGGTGTTTTAGACATGAAGTCCTTGCCCATGCCTATGTCCTGAATGGTATTGCCTAGGTTTTCTTCTAGGGTTTTTATGGTTTTAGGTCTAACATGTAAGTCTTTAATCCATCTTGAATTAATTTTTGTATAAGGTGTAAGGGAGGGATCCAGTTTCAGCTTTCTACATATGACTAGCCAGTTTTCCCAGCACCATTTATTAAATAGGGAATCATTTCCCCATTTCTTGTTTTTGTCAGGTTTGTCAAAGATCAGATAGTTGTAGATATGTGGCGTTATTTCTGAGGGCTCTGTTCTGTTCCATTGATCTGTACCTCTGTTTTGGTACCAGTACCATGCTGTTTTGGTTACTGTAGCCTTGTAGTATAGTTTGAAGTCAGGTAGCGTGATGCCTCTGGCTTTGTTCTTTTGGCTTAGGATTGACTTGGCGATGCGGGCTCTTTTTTGGTGCCATATGAACTTTAAAGTAGTTTTTTCCAATTCTGTGGAGAAAGTCATTGGTAGCTTGATGGGGATGGCATTGAATCTATAAATTACCTTGGGCAGTATGGCCATTTTCACGATATTAATTCTTTCTACCCATGAGCATGGAATGTTCTTCAATTTGTTTGTATCCTCTTTTATTTCATTGAGCAGTGGTTTGTAGTTCTCCTTGAAGAGGTCCTTCATGTCCCTTGTAAGTTGGATTCCTAGGTATTTTATTCTCTTTGAAGGAATTGTGAATGGGAGTTCACTCATGATTTGGCTCTCTGTTTGTCTCTTATTGGTGTATAAGAATGCTTGTGATTTTTATACATTGATTTTGTATCCTGAAACTCTGCTGAAGTTGCTTATCAGCTTAAGGAGATTTTGGGCTGAGACAATGGGGTTTTCTAGATACACAATCATGTCATCTGCAAACAGGGACAATTTGACTTCCTCTTTTCCTAATTCAATACCCTTTATTTCCTTCCCCTGCCTAATTGCCCTGGCCAGAACTTCCAACACTATGTTGAATAGGAGTGGTGAGAGAGGGCATCCTTGTCTTGTGCCAGTTTTCAAAGGGAATGTTTCCAGTTTTTGCCCATTCAGTATGATATTGGCTGTGGGTTTGTCATAGATAGCTCTTATTATTTTGAGATACGTCCCATCAATACCTAATTTATTGAGAGTTTTTAGCATGAAGGGTTGTTGAATTTTGTCAAAGGCCTTTTCTGTATCTATTGAGATAATCATGTGGTTTTTGTCTTTGGTTCTGTTTATATGCTGGATTACATTTATTGATTTGCGTATGTTGAACCAGCCTTGCATCCCAGGGATGAAGCCCACTTGATTATGGTGGTTAAGCTTTTTGATGTGCTGCTGGATTTGGTTTGCCAGTATTTTATTGAGGATTTTTGCATCAATGTTCATCAAGGATATTGGTCTAAAATTCTCTTTTTTGGTTGTGTCTCTGCCAGGCTTTGGTATCAGGATGATGCTGGCCTCATAAAATGAGTTAGGGAGGATACCCTCTTTTTCTATTCATTGGAATAGTTTCAGAAGGAATGGTACCAGCTCCTCCTTGTACCTCTGGTAGAATTCGGCTGTGAATCCATCTGGTCCTGGACTCTTTTTGGTTGGTAAGCTATTGATTATTGCCACAATTTCAGAGCCTGTTATTGGTCTATTCAGAGATTCAACTTCTTCCTGGTTTAGTCTTGGGAGGTTGTATGTGTTGAGGAATTTATCCATTTCTTCTAGATTTTCTAGTATATTTGCGTAGAGGTATTTGTAGTATTCTCTGATGGTAGTTTGTATTTCTGTGGGATCAGTGGTGATATCCCCTTTATCATTTTGTATTGCATCTATTTGATTCTTCTCTCTTTTCTTCTTTATTGGTCTTGCTAGTGTCTATCAATTTTCTTGATCTTTTCAAAAAACCAGCTCCTGGATTCATTAATTTTTTGAAGGGTTTTTTGTGTCTCTATTTCCTTCAGTTCTACTCTGATTTTAGTTATTTCTTGCTTTCTGCTAGCTTTTGAATGTGTTTGCTCTTGCTTTTCTAGTTCTTTTAATTGTGATGTTAGGGTGTCAATTTTGGATCTTTCCTGCTTTCTCTTGTGGGCATTTAGTGCTATAAATTTCCCTCTGCACACTGCTTTGAATGTGTCCCAGAGATTCTGGTATGTTGTGTCTTTGTTCTCATTGGTTTCAAAGAACATCTTTATTCCTGCCTTCATTTTGTTATGTACCCAGTAGTCATTCAGGAGCAGGTTGTTCAGTTTCCATGTAGTTGAGCAGTTTTGAGTGAGTTTCTTAATCCTGAGTTCTAGTTTGATTGCACTGTGGTCTGAGAGACAGTTTGTTATAATTTCTGTTCTTTTACATTTGCTGAGGAGAGCTTTACTTCCCAGTATGTGGTCAATTTTGGAATAGGTGTGGTGTGGTGCTGAAAAAAATGTATATTCTGTTGATTTGGGGTGGAGAGTTCTGTAGATGTGTATTAGGTCTGCTTGGTGCAGAGCTGAGTTCAATTCCTGGGCATCCTTGTTAACTTTCTGTCTTGTGGATCTGTCTAGTGTTGACAGTGGGGTGTTAAAGCCTCCCATTATTATTGTGTGGGAGTCTAAGTCTCTTTGTAGGTCACTCAGGACTTGCTTTATGAATCTGGGTGCTCCTGTATTGGGTGCATATATATTTAGGATAGTTAGCTCTTCTTGTTGAATTGGTCCCTTTATCATTATGTAATGGCCTTCTTTGTCTCTTTCGATCTTTGTTGGTTTAAAGTCTGTTTTATCAGAGACTAGGATTGCAACCCCTGCCTTTTTATGTTTTCCATTTGCTTGGTAGATCTTCCTCCATCCCTTTATTTTGAGCCTATGTGTGTCTCTGCACATGAGATGGGTTTCCTGAATACAGCACACTGATGGGTCTTGACTCTTTATCCAATTTGCCAATCTATGTCTTTTAATTGGAGCGTTTAGCCCATTTACATTTAAGGTTAATATTGTTATGTGTGAATTTGATCCTGTCATTATGACGTTGGCTGGTTATTTTGCTCGTTAGTTGATGCAGTTTCTTCCTAGCCTTGATGGTCTTTACAATTTGGCATGTTTTTGCAGTGGCTGGTACCAGTTGTCCTTTCCATGTTTAGCGCTTCCTTCAGGAGCTCTTTTAGGGCAGGCCTGGTGGTGACAAAATCTCTCAGCATTTGCTTGTCTGTAAAGTATTTTATTTCTCCTTCACTTATGAAACTTAGTTTGGCCGGATATGAAATTCTGGGTTGAAAAGTCTTTTCTTTAAGAATGTTGAATATTGGCCCTCACTCTCTTCTGGCTTGTAGAGTTTCTGCTGAGAGATCTGCTGTTAGTCTGATGGGCTTCCCTTTGTGGGTAACCCGACCTTTGTCTCTGGCTGCCCTTAACATTTTTTCCATTTCAACTTTGGTGAATCTGACAATTATGTGTCTTGGAGTTGCTCTTCTCGAGGAGTATCTTTGTGGCGTTCTCTGTATTTCCTGAATCTGAATGTTGGCCTGCCTTGCTAGATTGGGGAAGTTCTCCTGGATAATATCCTGCAGAGTGTTTTCCAACTTGGTTCCATTCTCCCCGTCACTTTTAGATACACCAATCAGACGTAGATTTGGTCTTTTCACATAGTCCCATATTTCTTGGAGGCTTTGTTGGTTTCTTTTTATTCTTTTTTCTCTAAACTTCCCTTCTCACTTCATTTCATTCATTTCATCTTCCATCACTGATACCTTTTCTTCCAGTTGATCGCATCGGCTCCTGAGGCTTCTGCATTCTTCAGGTAGTTCTCAAGCCTTGGCTTTCAGCTCCATCAGCTCCTTTAAGGACTTCTCTGCATTGATTATTCTAGTTATACATTCATCTAATTTTTTTCAAAGTTTTCAACTTCTTTGCCATTGGTTTGAATTTCCTCCTATAGCTCGGAGTAGTTTGATCATCTGAAGACTTCTTCTGTCAACTCGTCAAAGTCATTCTCTGTCCAGCTTTGTTCCATTGCTGGTGAGGAACTGCGTTCCTTTGGAGGAGAGGTGCTCTGCTTTTTAGAGTTTCCAGTTTTTCTGCTCTGTTTTTTCCCCATCTTTGTGGTTTTATCTACTTTTGGTCTTTGATGATGGCGACGTACAGATGGGTTTTTGGTGTGGATGTCCTTTCTGTTTGTTAGTTTTCCTTGTAACAGACAGGACCCTCAGCTGCAGGTTTGTTGGAGTTTGCTAGAGGTCCACTCCAGACCCTATTTGCCTGGGTATCAGCAGTGGTGGCTGCAGAACAGCGGTGGTTGTAGAACAGCGGATTTTGGTGAACCGCAAATGCTGCTGCCTGATCGTTCCTCTGGAAGTTTTGTCTCAGAGGAGTACCCGGCTGTGTGAAGTGTCAGTCTGCCCCTACTGGGGGGTACCTCCCAGTTAGGCTGCTCGGGGGTCAGGGACCCACTTGAGGAGGCAGTCTGCCCGTTCTCAGATCTCCAGCTGCGTGCTGGGAGAACCACTACTCTCTTCAAAGCTGTCAGACAGGAACATTTAAGTCTGCAGAGGTTACTGCTGTCTTTTTGTTTGTCTGTGCCCTGCCCCCAGAGGTGGAGCCTACAGAGGCAGGCAGGCTTCCTTGAGCTGTGGTGGGCTCCACCCAGTTTGAGCTTCCCAGCTGCTTTGTTTACCTAACCAAGCCTAGGCAATGGCAGGCACCCCTCCCCCAGCCTTGCTGCCACTTTGCAGTTTGATCTCAGACTGCTGTGCTAGCAATCAGCGAGACTCCATGGGCATAGGACTCTCTGAGCCATGTGTGGGATATAATCTCCTGGTGTGCTGTTTTTTAAGCCCGTTGGAAAAGCACAGTATTAGGGTGGGAGTGACCCAATTTTCCAGGTGCCATCTGTCACCCCTTTCTTTGACTAGGAAAGGGAACTCCCTGACCCCTTGCACTTCCTGATTGAGGCAATGTCTCGCCCTGCTTCAGCTCATGCATGGTGCGTTGCACCCACTGTCCTGCACCCACTCTCTGGCACTCCCTAGTGAGATGAACCCGGTACCTCAGATGGAAATGCAGAAATCACCCGTCTTCTGCGTCGCTCACGCTAGGAGCTGTAGACTGGAGCTGTTCCTATTCAGCCATCTTGGCTCCACCAAACTCTGACTTCCTTTCTGTTCCAGAGGAGTAGCCAGCCTTGAATTTATCAGGTAAGATTTATGTGAATAGCTCCTGAATACTTTATTATTTCAAAGTGCCCAAGGCATTGTTATTCTTAAAAATTTGCAAATATGCACCCCGAATAGCCATTATGATAAATAGTACCTCCTTCATCATGATCAATGTGCCTTTCCCCCCGGAATCAAATCTTTATTATGCTTACCAGGGTGGATGTAGAATTTATAGGTCTTTCCTTTTATAATGAGTCAAGCATTAATGACAAAAAGAAAATGTTGGAGTTATTGTCATCTTGAGACTTGAGAAAAATGTTGGCAAATTATGGGAAAAGGAAGAAAATATTAAACCTCTCAAGAAAGAGCCATGTGAAATGGTTGTTGAAGGGCCTAACAGTTACTGGATGCAAAGAGAAAAAACAGGGGCCCTGCTGAAGTGTAACCTGATGAGGACCAGCAAGCTTGGGCTTCCCTACAGCATGGCAGCCTTGGACTTCTCACATGGCAGCTCAGTGTCCTAAGTTGAGTATTTCAAGTCAGAGAGTCTGGCAGAAGCTGTATCACATTTTATGACTTGGTCTTGGAAGGTCACATAATGTCACATCCTCCATACTCTATTAGTTAAGGCAGTCAAAGGCCTGGTCATATTCAAGTAGAGGGAATGTCTAGCTTCCCTCCATGTCTTGGTGGGGATGTGGCAAAGTTCTTCTGCAAGAGCATGTGGGTTGATATTGTTAAAACCATTTTTGGAAAATGCAACCTGTCATAATAACTAAGGTGTTTTTTGAAATTTACATTTTCTGTTCTTCTCTCTTGCTTCCTCAAGATCCTCCACACTATAGTAAGAATGATGGTGGGAAACATCAATGGAGGGAGAGAGAGGACAGACAAGCACAATAAGTGCAAACCCTAATTATGAGGGCATAGAGTCAGAATGTTTATTAACTCATTCATTCTTTCAACAAATATTTACTGAGTGCCTGCTATGTGCCAGATACTGTTATCAGACACTGTAATAAGCATATCAGTGATCAAAACAGACATAGATTATTGCCCTCATGTAGTCTCCATTCTAGTAGAAGAGTTACTAACCAAGCTCAATGTGCCAGGCTCTGTTCTCAGCACTTTACACATGTGATCTTATTTAAACCCCTCAGCAAGTCTATGAAGTAGGTAACAATTAAGTCCCCTATTTTACTTGAGCACAGAGAGGAGGAGTCACTTGCTCAAGGTCACACAGCTATCTGGAGGCAGAGTCGTGATGTACATCCAGGTGTTTTTTTCTGGCTCCAGAGTCTCTACTCTCTATGCCATGCTGCCTCTGGATCTGCAAGGGAGCTTGCAGGTCATTTAGTTCACCCTCATTCCACAATGTGGACTCAGAGGTACCAGGTGATGAGAGGACTTGCCCACAATTAAACAGCTGATTAACATCTGGACTGGAACTAGAATCTTATCTTTCAGAACATGACTTATATCACTGTGCCCTTAGATTATTTGGGCAGATAATTCTATGAAGGATGGGGGCTTGGCCACATCCTCATGTTTCCCCACCTTGAATGATAGTTCCCTGGGGACAAAGATGGCTTTCGCTACTGTTTTTTGATAGTCCTTCTTCTGTCCTTCACAGTTGGGATGAAGATGCCCTGCTCAAGTTTACAAGCGGTGTTTTCCAGCTCAGCACAGCTCTTCTTCCTCTGAAGGTGCATCTCCCTACCTCTTGATCATCTGTGCGGCAAATGCTCCATGTGCATTTGGGGACCATCATCACTCTTGTCAGTTTTGTCCCTCCTCAGCCATCAGTGAGCTCAGGTGCACAGCAGTAACGGGAAATAGTACATGGCAGTGCCTAAAGGGTTAGTGAGAGAGAGACCAGACCACACAGTCATTCCCTCTCTAGCAGCCATCTCTGCATGAGAAGTGTTGGAGGGACAGCACCACAGGGACAGTGCTCTGTGCACCTCTCCTGTCCCAATTAGAACCATCACAGTCACCAGTGCCTCTAAACTGCAAGGGACCCACTAGGCAAAGAGAGCAGACTGGGGCAGAAATGTCCCATCATGGGAGCTGGAGATTGGGCTGTAGAATTTCAGACTGGAAGTTAGAGTTTGGCAGGCATCCTTCTCAGATTTTCTGGAACAGTTCCAATTTTATGCAACATAATTTTTTTAAATAATGATGACTCATTAAAAAAACTGTGATTTAATTTTTATGCATTTAATAGGACTTCTTATTTAAATAAATTCACTAATCAACAAAACAAAAATCTTTCTCAGCACCAAGAGTAGTCACTTGAACTTCAGACATACATTCTCCTTATTTATAGATCATCCTGACTGTAAAGGAACCAAAGAATAAGTTGCTGAGGATCAACAAAATACTTGCGGGGTTGAAATCACATACTTCCCTTGACTAAAAGAGGCTTATCATCTATGGTTGTACAGGTTGTGCACTGTACCAGGCTGCAACTGCAAGGAGTCTCTATTTGTACTGCAGACATTATTGATTTGTATGTTGAATACAACAGTTTTATGACAGATGGGCAGATTTGTTCAGTATAATCAATATACAATATGAAGACGATTTCAAACAGAATGAAGCAATGTGCCTTGAGGAAGGAGTGCCTGTTCTAATTTTCACAATGGTGTCCTATAAACCACTAGTGGCCTAGATTGAATGGCCAGTTCTATAAAACTCATGGGCCTGGGATTGAGAAACCAAGACTCAGAGCAGTAAGGGGAAAGTAGAGCAGTTACTTGCAAGACCAAGGCTAACCTGAAAGTGTATAAGGTAACACATTATTGGCTACACATTAGAATCTCTTGGGGAGATTTGAAAAATACTGATGCCTGGGTTTCACCCCTAGAGGTTCCTTTTAACTGGTCTGGGATACAGCCTGGGGTTGAGGTATTGAGGTTCTTCATGTAACCCTAATAAACAGCCAAGGTTGAGAACCACTGTATTTTTTGTTGGATGGGTGACAAATGATAGATGGATGGGTGGATGACTAGATGCATGGGGTGCATAGATACGTGAATAAATGAATGGACTAAGGAATTGGGCATAGAGTCATGGCTTGACATGTTTTCATGATCTGGTATCTGCTTATCTCCAGACACATTCTCTCTCATCTTGCCTCAGTTTCTTGCACTCCGTGCTCCAGCCATACTGAATTTCAATCAGTTTTTCTAATGTGGTGACTCTCTTACAACTCTGGCCCTTACCTTCCCTGTTCTCATTGATTAGAATGTGTTTCCTTTTTCTGTTTGCCTGACTAACTCTTACTCAGATTTCAGGCCTCTACATAAAATTTCAGGTAATTTAGTCCTGGAAGATTTCCTGGACTCCTCTAGACCCTGGTTTAGATCCTGCCATCCATGTTCCTGTGGCCTCTTGTCCTTTCCCATCAGAGCACCTATCACTTGGCATTGCCAGCTGGGCTCAGGGGAGAGGAAAAGGAAAAACCCAGTGGTTCATTTCTCATGGTCCTATGCTGCATGGCCTCATGCTGATTCAAGCATTTCAGGACAAAAACTTACTTTGACAAAATCTGTGCATCATTCATTGATGAATAAAAATATCACACCTTTGGTGGATGCCCCTCTCCCCTTATCTTCCTGTCCTGCAGTATTTTCATGCACGTCTGTGTGAAGAGACCACCAAACAGGCTTTGTGTGAGCAACATGGCTGTTTATTTCACCTGGGTGCAGGCGGGCTGAGTTCGAAAAGAGAGTCAGAGAAGGGAGATAGAGGTGGGGCCATTTTATAAGATTTGGGTAGGTAAAGGAAAATTACAGTCAAAGGGAGTTGTTCTCTGGCGGGCAGGAGTGGGGGTCACAAGGTACTCAGTGGGGGAGATTTTGAGCCAGGATGAGCCAGGAGAAGGAATTTCACAAGACAATGTCATCAGTTAAGGCAGAAACAGGCCATTTTCACTTCTTTTGTGGTGGAATGTCATCAGTTAAGGCAGGAACCAGCCATCTGGGTGTGTACCTGCAGGTCACAGGGGATATGATGGCTTAGCTTGGGCTCAGAGGCCTGACATTCCTGTCTTCTTATATTAATAAGAAAAATAAAATGAAATAGTGGTAAAGGGTTGGGATGGTGAAAATTTTTTTGGGGTGGTATGGAGAGATAATGGGCGATGTTTCTCAGGGCTGCTTTGAGCAGGATTAGGGGCGGCGTGGGAACCTAGAGTGGGAGAGATTAAGCTGAAGGAAGATTTTGTGGTAAGTGGTGATGTCGTGGGGTTGTTAGAAGAAACATTTGTCATTTAGAATTATTGGTGATGGCCTGGATACAGTTTTGTTTGAATTGAAAAACTAAATGGAATAAGAGAAGGAGAAAAACAGGTATTAAAGGACCAAGAATTGGGAGGACCTAGGACATGTAATTAGAGAGTGCCTAAGGAGACTCAGCATAGCCTTGCCAGTAAAGATTGTTTATTTACTTTAAGAGTTAAGAGTGGTGGTTTGGGGATAGCACCAGGAGATATCAGCTGTGATGGCTTGGAGAAACAGTGTAAACTGGCAGTGTAAACAAGAGCAGGGCATGTACGAGTAGTTGAGAACAGGTGAATAAGAGTATGACTACACAGAAAATAATAGGGATGACAAGTTTTTTGGGTCACAGTTTAAGTTGGTCTGGTGTCTGGAATGAGACTGGTACCTAATAAAAAGGAGTGTCTATACAGGAGCTTAAATGGGCTGTACCTTGTAGCATTCTGAGGACAGGCCTGAATTCTGAGAAGGGAAAGTGGTAAAAGTATTGTCCAGTCCTTTTTAAGTTGGCGGCTGAGCTTGGTGAGGTGTGTTTTTAAAAGACCTTTAGTCCATTCTACTTTTCTTGAAGACGGAGGACCATAAGGGATATAAAGGTTTCACTGAATACTGAGAGCCTGAAAAAATGCTTGGCTGATTTGACTAATAAAGGCTGGTCCGTTATCAGACTGTATAGAGGTGGGAAGGCTAAACTGAGGATGTCTGACAGAAGGGAAGAAATGACTGTGGTGGCCTTCTCAGACCTGCAGGAAAGGCCTCTACTTATCCAGTGAAATTGTCTACCTAGACTAAGAGGTATTTTAGTTATCTGACTCGGGGCATGTTGAGTAAAGCTAATTTGCCAGTCCTGGGTGGGGGCAAATCCTCAAGCTTGATGTGTAGGGAAGGGAGGGGGCCTGAATAATCCCTGAGAAGTAGTAGAATAGCAGATGGAACATTGAGAAGTTATTTCCTTGAGGATAGATTTCCACAATGGAAAGGAAATGAGAGGTTTTAAGAGGTGGGCTAGTGGCTTGTACTATAGCATAGCCTGCCTTTGCTGTTGTGTGGTGATTAGGCCTGGTGGAACTGCCATCAATAAACCAACTGTGATCAGGGTGAGAAACAGGGAAGAAAGAAATGTGGGGAAATGTGGTGAACGTCAGGTGGATCAGAGAGTTGCAGTTATGAGGGTCAGGTGTGGTATCCGGAATAATGTGGGAGGCTGGATTGAAGTCTGGGCCAGGAACAATGGTAATTGTGGGAGACTCAACAAAGAGTGAGTATAGCTGAAGGAGCCAGGGAGCAGAAAGTATGTGCGTCAGGTGTGAGGAAGAAAATAGATTTTGGAAATTATGAGAGCTGTAGAGAGTGAGTTGAGCATAGTTTGTGATTTTAAGGGCCTCTAAAATTATTAGGGTGGCATCAGCCGCTGCACAGAGACATGATGGCCAGCCTAAAACAGTAAGGTCAAGTTGTTTGGACAAAAAGCCTACAGGACACGATCCCAGTCCTTGTGTAAGAATTCTGACTGCACAGCCCTGCACTTTGGCTGTGTGTAATGAAAAGGGTTGGGATGAGTCAGGGAGAGCTAGAGTGGGGGCAGTCTCTAAAGCTGTCTTCAAGGAACGGAAAGAGGAGTGGGGAAAGGATTTAGGATCTATGGGGTCAGCTAGGTTTCCTTTTGTGAGTTTATATAATGGTTTTGTTAGGATGGCAAAACCAGGTATCCAAAGGCGGAAGTATCCAATCACGCCCAGGAAGGAAAGGAGTAGTTGTTTTGTAGAAGGGGTTGGGGTTTGAGAGATCAGTCAGACATGATCGGCAGGGAGAGCACGTGTGTTTTTGTGAAGAATTATGCCGAGGTAACGGATGCAGAAGAAATTTGAGCTTTGGAGGGGGATACCCGATATCCTTTGGAGAATAAATGCTGAAGGAGCAGAAGTGTGTCTTGTTGAGAAGATTCAAAGGAGGGGCTACAAAGAAGGTCATCAATATACTGAATAAGGTGAGAAGCAGAGGGGTGGAAAGAAAATAAATCATGAGAAAGAGCTTGGCTGAAGTAATAAGGACTGTCCCTGAAACCTTGTGGCAGCACAGCCCAGGTAAGCTGCTGGGGCTGATGGGTGTCAGGGTCAGTCCAGATGAAAGCAAAGAGAGGCTGGGACGAGAGGTTCAGGGGAATAGTGAAAAAACCATCTTTAAGATCAAGAACGGAATAGTGAGTTGTGGAGGAAGGTATTGAGGACAAAAGAGTGTACGGGTTGGGCACTACAGGGTGGATAAGCAAAACAATTTGGTTGATAAGGCATAGATCCTAAACTAACTTGTAAGGCTTGTCTGGTTTTAGGACAGGTAAAATGGGGGAATTGTAAGGAGAGTTTATAGGCTTTAAAAGGCCATGCTGTAGCAGGTGAGTGATAACAGGCCTTTATCCTTTCAAAGCATGGTATGGGATAGGATATTGG